>NC_000006.12:26726666-27029696 GCF_000001405.40 Homo sapiens | reverse complement strand
GGTGAAAGCCCATCTCTACTAAAACACACAAAAACGATCTGGGCGTGGTGGCAGACACTTGTAATCCCAGCTACTCAGGAGGCTGAGGCAGAAGAATCATTTGAGCCCAGGAGGCGGAGCTTGCAGTGAGCCGAGATTGCGCCACTGCACTCCAGCCTGGGTGACAGAGTGAGACTCTGTCTCAAACAAACAAATATATATATATATATATATATATATATATATATATATATATACACACACACACACACACACACACACACGTATATATATACATATATGTGTGTATATGTATATATATACACACACGTATATATACACATATATGTATTATATACACACATATGTGTGTATATATACACACATATATACGCACATATATACACATATATACGCACATATATATACACATATACACACACACACACACATATATATATGGAAAAGCCACAAAGACCTAATTAAAAAAAAAACTACAGGCTAATATTCTTCATGAAGATAAGCGCAGTAACCATCAACTGAACATTAACAAAATCCAGAAATATATAAAAAGTATTATACACCATGATTAAGTGGAACATGATTAAGTGGAATTTATTTCAGGAATGTAAATTTGGTTTAATATCTGAAAATAAAGCACCATATTAATAGAAAGCTAAAAAAAATCACTGATCATCTCAACAGATACAAAGCACTTAGCAAAATCCAATCCCTATTCCTTGTAAAAAATCTCATTAAACTTGGAATATAAGGACATTCTATAACCTAATAAAGGGCTTTTATGAAAAACCTGAAGTTAATGTCATACTTAATAATAAGAGACTGAATGCTTTCTCCCTAAGACTGAGAACAAATCAAGTATGTCTCCTCTTGCCACTTTTGTTCACTATTGCACTGTATATTCTAGCTTGTACAATCAGGAGAGAAAAAGAAATGAAAGCATACTTACTTGAGAGAAAGAAATTAAATCATCTATATTCACAGATGACATGATCCTATATTCCAAAAATTTCAGGAAATACACACATACACACACACTCACACATGCACACACACATACATTGAACAAATAAAATAGTTTTAGCAAGGTTGAAGGATACAAGATTGATATCTAAAAATCAACTGTATTTCTATATACTATCAATGAACAACCTAAAAATGAAATTAAGAAAACAATTCTATTCACAATAGCATTAAAAAGAATATAATTCTTAAGAATGAATATAACAAAATATGTATAAAGCCCTTTGCTGGAAACTATAAAATATTGCTGAGAGAAATTATGAAAGATCTAAATAAATGAAGAGGTAGTCCATGTTCATGGAACATGAACACGGATTAAAAGACTCAGTATGACCCATATTGTTAAGGTGGCAATTCTTAAATTACCATATAGATTCAATGCAATTCTTATAGAAATCCTGCAAAAACTGGCAAGTGTATCTTAAAATTTACTTAAAACTGTGGAGGATCCAGAAGAGTGGAAGCAGCTTGCAAAAAGAAGAACAAAAGCTAAGAACTTAAACTTCCAGGTTTTAAAATGGAAGATCATCTGCTGAGGGAATCAAGACAGTATAGCCTAGCATAAAGGTAGATAAATGGAACAGAATTGAGAGTCTAGAAGTAAACTCTTACCTTTGTGTTCCATTCATTTTCAACAAAGTTGCCAATGCAGTTGGGAAAAAAACAAAACAAAATAAAAACAGTTGTTTTGTTTTGTTTTGTTTTGTTTTAACGAATACTGCTGGGATAATTGGATATTCACATGCAACAACAACAACAAAAAAGATAAATTTAGACCCTTAACTCACACCACATAAAACATTAACTCAAAATGGATAGAAGACCTAACTATAAGAGTTTATGAAACATTTAGAAGAAAGAATAGGAGAAAATCATCATGATGCTAAATTAGGCAAAAAGGTCTTAGATATATACTAAAATCACAATTCATAAAAAACCAAAAATTGATAAATGGACTTCATCAAAATTAAAACCATTTGCACTTTTAAAAGCACCATTAAGAAAATGAAAAGCCATGCCACAGACTAAGGGAAAACATTTAAAAATCATATATCTGATAAAGAACTTGCATCCTGAATATATAGGGAACTCTTATAACTCAATAGGAAAAAAGCTTAATTTAAAACTGGGAAAATATTCTAATAGCTCACCAAAGAAGACATATGAATGGGTATTAAGCACATGAAAAAAAATCTCAACATCATTAGTCATTAGGACAATGCAGTTCACAACCACAATGAGTACCACTTCATACCCACCTGCATGGCTATTTTTTAAAAAACACAAGACAGACAATAACAAGGTTGGTGAGAATGTGGAAAAGCTGGAACCCTCATCTAGTGCTCGTGGAAATGTAAAATGGAGCAGCCTATTTGGAAAACAGTTCCTTTAAGATAATCATAAATTTATCATATGACTCTGCAATTCTATTCCCAGGTATCCAAGAGAAATGAAAACATGTCACACAAAAATTTGTATGCAAATGTTCATAGCAGTATTATTCATATAAGCCAAAATATGGATGGATGCAATCCAAATGTCCATCAACTGGTAAATGGATAGGTAAAAGGGGTATATCCATACAATGAAATACTGCTTAGCAATAAAAAGTAACAAATTACTGATACCTGCTACGACACTGATGAACTTCAAGAACATTATGTTAAGTGAAAGTGTCCAGATGCAAAAGACCACATATTACTTATTTCATTTACACAAAATGTCCAGAAAATGCAAATCTATAGAGACAGAAAGTAGATTAAAGCTTGCCTGGGGTTGGAGGTAAAATTGACTGTAAATGGGCATGAAGGAGAGGTTGGAAATCTCTCTTTTGGGGAGATGTAAGCGTTCTAAAACTGACTCATACTGATAATTGCACTACTCTGTAAGTTTACTAAAAATCATTAAATTGTACAGTTAAAATTAGTGAATTTTATGTTATGTAAATTATACCTCAATGCAGCTGTTAACAAAATAAGGAGTAGTCAGTAAAGGCCTCTCTAAAGAGGCGACAGTTGAGCTATGACTCAAATGATTAAAAAATTCTGACATGTTAGCACCACCTTTGTAATAGGATAAGGCTTGAAAGCACAGGGAATACCAACACTAAAGGGCCTGAGGCAGGAATGAGCTTGGGGTGTTAGAAAAACAGAAAGAAGGAATGTATGGTGGTGACAAACCTAGGGAGAAAAGAATGGCAGAAGATAAACTCAGACTGGGCATGATGTCTCATGCCTATAATTCCAGCACTTTGAGAGGCTGAGGCAGGAGGATCACTGGAGGCCATGAGTTCAAGACCAGCCTAGGTAACATAGCAAGACTCCGTCTCTCTGTGGCACAGTTCTGTAGTCCTAGCCATTGGGGAGGCTGAGGCAGGAAGATCATGGGAGCCCAGGAGTTGGGGGTTATAGTGAACTATGATTGTGCCCCTGAACTCCAGCCTGGGTGGCAGAGTGAGACCTTGCCTCTGGGGAAAAAAAAAAAAGTAACCTCAGTGAAGAAAGTAGGAATGACAGAATTTAGTGAACAATTGAATATAAAGGAAGAGGGCTGTGGAAGGTCTAAGTTTCCATCTTCAGTGGTAGGACTGTGGTAATTTACTGAGGAAATGAATAGTGGAGAAGAGCAGGTTTCAGGGAGAATATTATAGGTAAAGTTTAGACATATTAATTTTGAAATACCTGTATGTGATGGTTCATTTTACACTTCAACTTGGCTGGGATATGGTACCCAGACATTTGGTTAAATGCTAGTCTAGATGTTGCTGTGAACACATGTTTTAGATGAGATTAACATTTGAATTAGTACACTGTAAGTAAAGCAGATTACCTTCTATAACATGGGCGGGCTTCATCTAATCCAACTGAAGGCCTTACGAGAAAGAGACTGGAGTTTCCTGAGGAAGAGGGAATTCTGCTTCCAGGATGCCTTCAGGCTCAAGCTGCAACATTAACACTTTCCTGAGTCTTCAGTCTGCTGGCCTACCCTGCAGATTTTGTACTTGCCAGCTCCCACAATCATGTGAGCTACTATCTTGAAATAAATGCCAATCTATTTATCTACCTATCTCTCTATACGTATATATAAAATCTCTAGTTGGTTCTGTTTCTCTGGAAAACCCTTAGTAATGCAATGTGGAATGTGCAAGTGAAGATATCAAGAAGTGAGTCAGAAATAAGAATTTGGAGCACAGGAAGATGGCTCTCCTGAATATTGGTATAGAATGTAACTTAAACAATGAATATTATGTAATATAGATTCATGATTCTTAATCTTGTGCAGTGGTTTACATACATAAAAGAAATACACAAAATTTTAGCAAGTTACATATCTCTGAAATTCATCAGTATAGATTTAATTTAGCTTAAGATTAAAAAGCAGACCAATGACTGAATCTTGGGGGGAAAACTCATATTTACAAAGGAAAGGGGAGAGCTGAAAGAACTGGAGAATTGGAGATACCAAGGAGTAAAATCTCACCTACAAAAGATTAGTCAACCATCAAATACAGTTGAGTACAATTTAGAAAAAAAAGTCTAAAAATGTCTTGGTGAGGATGTCATCTCAGTAGCCTTAACAAAGCAGTTGGTAAAATGATGGGTGGATGCCAGATTGCAGTGGGTTGAAGACTGTAAGGAAAGGAAAGGCATTCACTTAGGTTTCTCTTTCTGGAAGTACATGTTGAAGGGAAGGAGTAAAAAAGAGCAGTCTCTTGAGAGTAGACGTGTAGATCTTTGGATCATGCAGAGTGTGAGTGTGTATGTCCATTCAAAGAGGACAGACTGTGTGTTTATACATATTTTATTTTAAGGTTAAGTCATCATGGGGAGTTGGCATTTGGAGGTGCAGATGAAGAGTTTAGTCTTTAATGAGCAGAGAGACATCTCTAAAAAATCAGGCAAGCAATAAAGCTCGTAACTGATGCTGATGAATTATAAATGTATGTAAAGAAGAGGGGAATAATGTAAATCAGAGGAGGTTCTAGATTCTTTGTGAAGTAAAAGGTAAGATTATCTGCTGAGAATGAAGCATTATCATGGAGTTTGGCTATTAAGGAGATAGGGGAAATTATGCAAAAACACCCTGGGTGGATGAGGGAGTTATTAGGCCTAAGGTTACCCATAGGCTTTGAGGTTACAGACCACAATTTTGCAAAGGACATGAAATTTGCTTGCTTCCCTTTTATTCTCCAGAAAGGGTAGGGTAAATATTGATGGGAAAATATGGATAAAGTGATGTTGGTGTGTTGGAAACTTGATCCCCAGTGGGGCAGTATTGGAAAGTGGGATCTTTAAAAAGTGTTTAAATTATGAGGGCTCCACCCTCATGAGTGGATTAATGCCATTATTTTAGGACTGAGTTTCTTATAAAATGAAGAGTTCTGCCCCCTCTTGTTCTCTCCCCTGCCCCCCACCACCCACTCTTTGACCTTCTGCCATAAGGTGAGGCAACAAGAAGTCTCTCGCCAGATGCTAGTCCCTTGATTTTGAACTTCCTTGCTTCCAAGACCATGAGCCAATAAATTTATGTTCATTATAAACTTCCCAGTCTTAGGTATTTTGTTATAGCAACACAAAATGAACTAAAATAGATGCTTTTCATATTCTCTGTTCTATTCCTAATGAGTTTGTGATCATGCCGGAATAACTGAATTGTGAACTCCTATTAAGACGTCTATAACAGTTCAACAAAGACAGGGTGAAAGAATCAACAATTATTGCATAACAAACTATCTTCAAAGCTCAAGGTCACATAACAATAAGCATTTATTTCATACAGGCTTATTGGAGAAGTCAGCTGGTCTAGGCTGGGCTCAGCTGGATGGATCTTCTTCAATCTGTAGACAGCAGAGGCAGCCAGACAACTTTTTTCTTTGTCTCTCATCCTCCTCTTCAGACCGGTGGGTGACCTGCGGTTTGTTTTTCTTATGACAATAGCAGAAGTACAAGAAGGCAAGTGGAAATAGGCAAAGCCTTTTAAGGCCCAGGCTGGGAATAAGCACACCATCACTTCTACCCCATTCCATTGGCCAAGCAAGTTGAGTGGACAAGTCTAAATCAAGGGACTTTGTTTTTTAGTTATCTATTGCTGTATAACAAACCATCTCAAATGCAGTGGCTTAAAATACTATGCTCAAATGTAGTAACTTGAAGCAACTGTGATTATTTATTTGCTTATGATTTTACAATTTTGACAGAGAATGACAGAGAGAGCTTATCTCTACACTATGTGGCATCTGCTAGAGTTGTAAGGTATGAGATGGCTTTTTCACTCACAGGTTTGATGTCTTAGAATAGTTGGAGTAGTTGAGGGTTGGCAAGGAATATCTCTCCATGTCTTTCCATGTGGTTAGCTTGAGCCTCTGCAAACCATCGCAGTCTCTAGGTATTTGAACTTCTTAACATGGGAGCTGGCTTCTCCTTAAAGGTAAAAGTGGAAGCTGATATGTTTTCTTACTGCCTGGGCTGAGAAATCACAAAATGTTATTTTTACTGCATTCCATTGCTCACAGTAGTTACAAACCCAAACCAAATTCAAGGTGAAGGGAAACAGACTCTACTTCTAGCTGAGGAGGTGCCAAGCTCACATTGCAGAAGGGAACGAGGGATACTGTTTCAGTCATTTTCAGGAATCCAGTCTACCACAAGTGAAGACAAACTCTCCACCCACAAAAAGGGTGTGGATATAGAGAAGGAGCAATAATTTAATCAACTGTGCTGTATAATACGAATGTGTATATTAAAATGATTTTAAATGATTCTAGAGTCAGTCCCTTGCCCTGATATCACAATCTGGAGGATTGTCATTTAACATAATAAAACCACACTGCTGAAGTGGCCACCAAAAGTACTTCAGTTTTCTTTATTTTTGATAAACACCAGAGGCTGCCATAATTAGTATAATGGAATATTGGATACTGGTTTTCTTTGATGAAATTTGTCCTTGTTAATTAGTTAATTAATATATTAGAAACAAAGATCCCATGGTGTGAAGGGAAAAAAATATTAGAAATATAGTCTCCCTGGGTAAATTAGCGGTTCCCAAAATGAATTAAATATTTAAGAGACACTGTTCAAAGGGAATAAAAATTAAATGAGTTCTAGCCTTTAACTTGAGGGATGGTGCCCTAGGCTGGAGATTTCAGTATTTCTGTGTCCTGCTGTGTCCAGAGGTTTTCTTCTTAGAGATGTTTGGCTGAATCCTCACTCTGAAATATTGTTGCATTTGCCTCAAGCAAAGCTTTCATGAAAGGTAGTTTTGAAGTTAGTAAAACAACAATGACAACAACAAAAACAAATGACAAAACCGTGGGAACTTCATTGAGCTTAGAGAACAGGTTTTATGACTGTTTTTTGCTTGCTTTCTAATAAATGACTATATATGTACAAAATTTTGTTGAAGATCTTCTATCACTATAACTCGTTGGTATGTTGTAGCTAACTATCCCTTACTTTATACTATAAAGTAAGGTATAGTATAAAGTACTATAAAGTAAGCTGCCTACAGACATCTACCAAAAGCACCCAAAGTTGTGTATCACAAAACTGGCTTAAGCCAGTTCACAAAAATTCTTTATGGCAAAGGTCACCATTTTTTAAACACTGTCTGAAGACACTCAATAATACCTTCAACTGATCAGGAACAGAGATAAAATAATTGAATTAAGGTGCTAAATCTATTCAGAAAAAATATCCAAAAGTTAATATAAGGCAAAAAAAAAAGATATTAGTACTCTTTCAAAATAATACTAGAGCATTGTCTAACAAGCCCACTGAAGGGGCAAGTAATCCTCTAAGTTAATGGAACTTTTGGAGGTCACTATTTACTAATGATTAGAAAATAGATTACAAGGTTAAATGTCATTATGTAGAATATTAAGTTTTGAATGATTTTTACCCAGTAAAGATGCAACTAGTTTCTGTCTTTTAGATAAAAATAATCCCAAAGGCCATAGTTTTCACTGCCTCATAGGACATTAGCTAGTTTTTTACTTAAACTTGCAATCTCATGTCAGCATTATTTTTCCCCCACTGACTATACCTTTACCAGCCTTTTCTATTGCCATTGCAATCAGTTTACCATACTCCTCCTTTTCTCATTAGTGACTTAAATAAATATTTGGTGATTAGTTACTATATATATATTTGAAGATTATGCTTTGATAGCTTTTAAGGTACTCCAGTGGCTTAGCAAGAGCTACAAAGTGAGAAGGTGTTCACTTTATTATCATCTGGTGCATTCCTGAACGGGACCTCGCTAACCTTTCTCAGGAGAGAGTCTGTGAGTGGACAATGTCCAGATACATGCAAGACCCATTTAGGAATACAGATCTCAAGAGAGAGTTATCTGTGCTCAGCTTAATTCCACTCACCTCCGTGTCCCAAGTGGGACACATGTGCTTTCAGATTTGTGGCAATCTTTATAGCTAGGAAAACAACTCCCAATTACTCAGTTCAATTCCCTCTCTTGCTGAAGAGTTGGGAAGCATATGATAAAAGCTATGTCCAGGCAAACTGCAGGTGTCATAGGGAGAGGAAGCCTATTTTAAAGTCAAAATCCCTATCTACTTCCTACCCACCTCAGCCACAACAATATGCTTATTCTTGTAATGCTGTTCTAAAGATTTCAGGTTTCTGGGTCTATTATCACTCATCCTTTTCCAAGTCCAGGTAATTGAATGCCTGAGGACACCAGGTGCTGTTTCTCAGTTGATAGAAGCTGCTAGATCTTCCATGACTGTTGATTTTTATCAGGGTAAAATTAAGTGGGGGAAAAATACTGGAGGGGACACTGTTGTCAGAAATCAGTCCCCCCACACCCCTCCCAATCAGAGCTTTAATCAGACAGGAACCTTTTACTATTTCCCACTTTTGAGTTTCCTTAAATGGAGTTCAATGCTTATCACCTGATGGGAGTTTCTTAGCACTAAGTATGTGCCAGGGGCTCCCCGAGGAACGATGATCGATGATCCTAAGAACAAAGTGGAAAGAAGGATGTAAAGAGATGATGTTCTTTACCTGAGATCGACGTGCAGAACAAAGTGGAGATAGAAGGTAGCTAACTCACTGCGGCGCAACGGATTTTGTTGGTAATTGGCGTTGCTTGGTTCTAAAAAGGCTAAGGAAACCAATAACAATAAACTGTGTACACAATTCCAAACACGTTAAAGACGATGGAGTCGGATTACAGGGGGAAAGGCACTTCAAGTAATGCTATTTTGGGTTGGAAAACAATGCTCCAGGTGAGGCTCGAACTCACAACCTCGGCATCACTCGCACACATACTGCCATATAAGTACCGCGCGCTAACCGATTGCGCCACTGGAGCACCCAGTTTCTACTTCCGGTCACTCCTTACACAGCCTACACAGGAACATCCGGCGTGTTTGCTCTGGTCGTCACAGCACCGGTTCCTCGGGCGCGCGCCCTTAGTCCTGGGGCCGCTTCTCCCCCGGACGCGTGCGAAGGCGGACTGGGTTCCGCTGCGGTCTCCACGGGAGCCACCGGTCCTGAAAGCGCGGAGCATGCTTTGTTTGCGGAAACGAAAGCGAATACTTCTTTCCAAGGAGACTTAGGAAAGGGCAGACGCTCCCACTGCCTCAGGTGTTCCCTGGAGGACCTTCAAGTGGCCGCCGTGTGGGCGGGCTAGCGTCCCGCTGCTGCGCTGGTTCCGGAGCCCTTCCCTTGCCTCTCCCAGGGTCCTTCTCCCAGCGTCGGAGGAAGGCCCGCAGTCTGCGAGTGGAGTGCGGGTGGTGGGAATCCCTGGGAGGATTACGAAATCCTTAAAGTGGGATTTACCAAACGCATTCCTTTCCGCTCACTTCCGTTCCCGCTTAACAAACGTGTTGGAAACGTGTTGCTACTGAAAGGAAGTGGCGCTGGGCTGCATTTTCTGTGGCTAGTCTGCGAGAAACAGCCCTGGAATAGGGCCTCTATTTCTTCCTTGGAGCATCCCTCCCCGGGACCTGGGAGTTGAAACTCTAGGCTAAAGCAACTGAAGCAGGCCCAGGACTGGGTCTCTGAAATTCATGGTGTCTCTACGCTGAGTTAAACTAAGTTTTTCAGAAAATGTCTAACTAGGCTAAAGACCTTGTGCTTCAGAGTGTTTTGAGAGGAGAGTTTGGGGAAAAGGGCTCTCTCTAGAAGGTAAATTTGTATGGGAGATGGGGAGTGTGTGTTTACACGGAGTATCGGGCGTCTTTCTTATGGGTGGACATTGTGGATAAGAATGAGATATTAAGGCAGAATTAGCTGGGCTTTTAATCCCAAACAGTGTTTTAAAAATAAAAACTATATATTTAAGGTGTACAACATGATGTTTTGATACATGTACACAGTGAAATGATTTCTACAGTCAAGCTAATTAACATAATACATCTCTTCACAGTTACTATTTTGTGTAAGTGGTGAGAGCGCATGAAATGTACTCTCCGCAAGTTTCCAATGCACAATGCAGTATTAACTATAGTTATGCTATGCATTACATCTCTAGACTTATTCATCCTATAGAACTGCAACTTTGTATCCTTTGACCAACATCTTAACCATTTCCATACGTCTCCACCCCTGGTAACCACTGTTCTACTCTGCTTCTATGTATTTGACTTTTTTAGAATCCACATAAGAGATCATGCAGTATTTTTCTTGCTGTGTCTGGCTTGTTTCACTTAGCATAATGACATCGAGGTTCATCCATGTTGCAAACAGCAGGATCTTCTTTATTAAGGATGAATAATATTCTATTGTGTGTATAAACTATATGTGCTTTATCCATTCATTGGTGGACAGCCACTTAGGTCGATTCCATATCTTAGTTATTGTGAATAATGTTTCAATGAAGATGGGCATGCAGTTATTGCTTCGAGATCCTGATTTCATTTCCTTTGCGGATGTGAACACCGAAAATTTGAGACACGTTTCAGTTAATTTAGAAAGTTTATTTTGCGAAGGTTGAGGACACACCCCTGTGACACAGCCTCAGGGAGTTCTGACTACCTGTGCCCAAGGTAATCGGGGCACAGCTTAGTTTTATACATTTTAGGGACACATGAGACATCAGTCAATATATGTAAGAAGTACATTGGTTCCATCCAGAAAGGCGGGGACAAAGCAGGGAGGGGGCTGCCAGGTCTTACTTTTGAGTTTCTGATAAACCTTTCCAAAGGAGGCAATCAGAGTATGCATCTATCTCAGTGAGCAGAGGGATGACTTTGAATAGAATGGGAGGCAAGTTTGCACTGAGCAGTTTCCAGCTTGAATTTTCCTTTTAGCTAGTGATTTTGGGGGTGCAAGATATTTTACTTTCACAGTATATACCCAGAAAAGGTACTGCTGGATCATGTGGTAGTTCTATTTGTAATTTTCTGAGGAACAGCCATACTGCTGTTTTCCATAAAGGCGGTACTAATTTGCATTCCCACTCATAATGTAAAAGGGTTCCCTTTTCTCTACATTGCCAACACTTGTTATTTTTTATATTTTTAAATTGGTTATTCTAACAGGTCTGAGATGATGTCTCATTGTGGGTTTGATTTGCATTTCCATGATGATTAGAGATGTTGAGCATTTTTTCTATTGGCCATTTTTTATGTCATCCTTGGGAAAATATCTGTTCAGGTTCTTTACCTATTTTTTAATTAGATTTGGTTTTCTTGCTATTGAGTTGTATGTGTATATATATATATACCTTATATATTTTGGATATTAACTCCTTATCAGATACATGGTTTACAAATATTTTCTCCCAACCAATAGTTGCCTTTTCGTTTTGCCCATTGTTTTCTTCTCTGTGCAGATTTTTCGTTTGATGTAGTCTCACTTGTTTACTTTTGCTTTTGTTTCCTGAGCTTTTGGTGTCCTGTCCAAGAAATCATTACAAAGGCCAGTGTCAAGGAGGTTTTCCCTTACATTTTCTTCTAGGAGTTTTACAATTTCAGGTCTTCTGTTTAAGTCTTTAACCTATTTCGAGTTGAATTTTATGTAAGGTGTAAGATAAGGGTGTAATTTTTTTATTTTGTATGTGGGTTCCCAGTTTTCCCAACACCATTTATTGAAGAGGCTGTCTTTTCCCCAATGTGTATTTTTGTCACGCTTGTCAAAAATCAGTTGACTCTAAATGTGTAGATTTATTTCTGGGCTCTCTATTTTGTTCCATCGGTCTATGTGTCTGTTTTCATGTCAGTGCCGTGCTGTTTTGATTGTATGGCTTTGTATAGTATATTTTGAAGTCAGGTAGTGTGATGCCTCCAACTTTGTTCTTCTTTCTCAAGATTGCCCTGGCTATTTAAGGTCTTTTGTGGTTTTATGCAATCTTAGAATGTTTTTATTTCTGTGAAAAATATTGGAATTTTGATATTGTGTTGAATCTGTATATTGCTTTGAGTATTATGGACATTTTAACAATATTAATTATTTTGATCCATAAACCTTTTCATTTACTTTGTCTTCTTCAGTTTCATTCATCAATGTTTTATAGTTTTCAGTGTACAAATCTCTTACCTCCTTGGTTACATTTATTCCTAAGTATTTAAATTTTTGTACCAATCGTAGTAGATATTTGTAAAACTTTCTTTTTAGATAGATTGTTGTTTGTGTAAAGAAACACACCTGACTTTTGTATGTTAATTTTATATCCTACAACTTTATTTAATTATTAATTTTAATAGCTTTTTGGGTGGAGTTTTTAGAAATTTCTACGTATAGACTCATGCCATCTGCAAACAGTTTTACTTCTTCTTTTACAATTTGGATGCCTTTTATTTCTTTTTCTTGTCCAATTGCTTTTGCTAGTACTTCCAGTGCTATGTTAAATAGAAATGGAGATAGTGGTAATCTATACCTTGCACCAGATCTTAGAGGAAAAGCTTTTAGTTTTTCTCTATTGATTATGATGTTAGTTGTGGGATATTAATAAATGGCCCTCATTGTGTTGAGGTAGTTTTCTTCTATACCTATTTTGTTGAGAGTTTTTATCTTGAGTGGATGTTGAATTTTGTCAAATGCTTTTTCTGCATCTATGATGATGTGATTTTTATCTTTCACTCTGTTAATGTGATATATTGCATTGATTGATTTGGGTATTTTAAGCCACCCTTGTATCCCAGGGGTAAACCCCACCTGGTCACAGTGTATAGTCTTTTTGATGTGTTTTAAATTCAGTTTGCTATGATTTTATTGAGGAATTTTGCATCTATGTTCACCCAGAGATATTGGCCTGTAGTTTAGTTTTCTTGTGGAATCTTTGTCTGGCCTTGATATCAGAGTGATGCTAGCTAGCCTCATAAAATGAGTTTGGAAATATTATCTCTACTTCTATTTTTGGAAGGGTTTAAGAAGGATTGGTATTAATTTTTCTTTAAATATATGTTAGATATATGTGCTCAGCTGTGAAGCCATCTGGTCTTGGACTTTTCTTTTTTGAGAGGTGCTATATGGTTTGTATGTAGTTTGTCCCCACAAAAACTCACACTCAAATTTAATTGCCAATGTAATGGTGCTAAAAGGTGGGACTTTTAAAAGGCATTTGGATCATGAAGCGATTAATGCAGTCATGAAGGGTTTAATGCAGTCTCAGTTATCATGAGAGCAGGTTATTATAAAGTGAGGCTGCTTCTTGTGTTTCATCTCTTTGTACACACCCATTCCCCATTTTTTCTGCTTTCCACCATTAGTTGAAGCAGCACAAGGCAGATGGGATGCTTGATTTTGGACTTCCCAGCCTGCCAAACTGAGCTATATAAACCTCTTTTTTTGTCTTAAAATAAATTACTCACCCTCAAGTATTCTGTTATAGCAACACAAAACAGACTATGACAGGAGGTTTTTAAATTATTATTACTTCAATCTCCATATCTGTTATTAAAATGTTTAGGCTTTGTATTCTTGATTCAGTCTTGGTAAGCTATTTATTCTAGGAATTCATCCATTCACTCTAGGTTATTTAATTGGTTGACATATAATTGTTCATAATAATCCCTTATGATCTTTTCTGTTTCTGAGGCATCTGTTGTAATGCCCTCTTTCATTTTTTTATTTTATTTATGAGTTTCTCTTTTTTTCCTTAGTTATCTAGCTAAGGGTTTGTCAATTTTGTTTGTATTAAAAAAAACTCTTGGTTTTGTTTATTATTTTTCTATTGTTTTCTAGTCTCTGATTTATTTCTGTACTAATCTTTATTATTTTCTTTCTTCTGCTAACTTTGCGTTTAGTTTGTTCTTCTTTCTAGTCCCGTGAAATCTAGTTTATTTATTTAAGAGCTTTCTTGTTTTGTTATGTGGTATTTGTCACTATAAACGTCCCTCTTAGTATTGCTTTTGCTATATCTGATAAGTTTTGATAAGTTGTATTTTCATTTTTATTTGTCTGGAGTTTTTTTTTTTAATTTTGTTTTGATCTCCTACTGAGCCCAGTGGTTGTTCAAGATTATGTTATTTAGTTTCTATGTGTTTGTAAATTTTCCCATTTTCTTGCTGTTAATGATTTCTGGCTTCATTCCATTGTGGTTGGAAAAGGCACTTGGTACGATTTCTATCTTTTTGAATTTGTTAAGACTTGTTTTGTGACTTAACATATGATCTATCCTGGAGAATGTTCCATGTGTGCTTCTGCTATTGAGTGAAAAGTTCTAAATATGTCTGTTAGGTCTATTTGGTCTATAGTGCTTTCCAAGTTAGCTGTTTATTGATTTTTCTGTCTACATGCCACATGTTCTATCCATTATTCAAAGTGGGGTATTGAAATCTATTACTATTGTATTGCTGTCAGTTGGTCAACTTGCTGGTGTCTCATAAGTCCCTTAAGCTATGTTGACTCTTTCAATTTTTCTTTTTTTCCCTCTGATTGTATGATTTCTAATGACCTGTCTTCAAGTTCACTGATCCTTTTCTTCTGCTAGATCTAGTCTGCTGTTGAACCCTGCTATTGAATTTTTTAGTTCCGTTATTGTATACTTTAGTGCTGTGATTTCTGTTTGTTACTATTTAATTTTTAAATCTCTTTGTTGAAATTCTCATTCTGTTCATGAATTTATCTCTTGACCCCAGTGAACATCTTTTTTTTTTTTTTTGGATTGTCCATCATTTTTTATTGTTTCATAAGAGTTTTCTTTCTCTCTTTTTATTATACTTTAAGTTCTAGGGTACATGTGCACAACATGCAGGTTTGTTACATATGTATACATGTGCCATGTTGGTGTGCTGCATCTGTCAACTCATCATTTACATTAGGTATTTCTCCTAATGCTATCCCTCCCCCTCCCCCAGCCTCATGACAGGCCCCAGTGTGTGATGTTCCCCATTCTGTGTCCAAGTGTTCTCATTGTTCAATTCCCACCTATGAGTGAGAACACACGGTGTTTGGTTTTCTGTCCTTGCGATAGTTTGCTCAGAATGATGGTTTCCAGCTTCATCCATGTCCCTACAAAGGACATGAACTCATCCTTTTTTATGGCTGCATAGTATTCCATGGTGTATATTTGCCACATTTTCTTAATCCAGTCTATCACTGATGGACATTTGGGTTGGTTCCAAGTCTTTGCTATTATGAATAGTGCTGCAATAAACATACCTGTGCATGTGTCTTTATAGTAGCATTATTTTTAATCCTGGTTTATACCCAGTAATGGGATCGCTGGGTCAAATAGTGTTTCTAGTTATAGATCTTTGAGGAATCGCCACACTGCCTTCCACAATGGTTGAACTAGTTTACACTCCTACCAACAGTGTAAAAGTGTTCCTATTTCTCCACATCCTCTCCACACCTGTTGTTTCCTGACTTTTTAATGATCACCATTCTAACTGGTGTGAGATGGTATCTCATTGTGGTTTTGATTTGCATTTCTCTGATGGCCAGTGATGGTGAGCATTTTTTCGTGTGTCTGTTGGCTGCGTAAATGTCTTCTTTTGAGAAGTGTCTGTTCATATCCTTCACCCACTTTTTGATGGGGTTGTTTGATTTTTTTTTTCTTGTAAATTTGTTTAAGTTCTTTGTAGATTCTGGATAATAGCCCTTCGTCAGATGGGTAGATTGCAAAAATTTTCTCCCATTCTGTAGATTGCCTGTTCACTCTGATGGTAGTTTCTTTTGCTGTGCAGAAGCTCTTTAGTTTAATTAGATCCCATTTGTCAATTTTGGCTTTTGTTGCCATTGCTTTTGGTGTTTTAGACATGAAGTCCTTGCCCATGCCTATGTCCTGAATGGTAATGCCTAGGTTTTCTTCTAGGGTTTTTATGGTTTTAGGTCTAACATTTAAGTCTTTAATCCATCTTGAATTAATTTTTGTATAAGGTGTAAGGAAAGGGTCAAGTTTCAGCTTTCTACATATGGCTAGCCAGTTTTCCCAGCACCATTTATTAAATAGGGAATCCTTTCCCCATTTCTTGTTTTTGTGAGGTTTGTGAAAGATCAGATGGTTGTAGATGTGTGGTATTATTTCTGAGTGCTGTATTCTGTTCCATTGGTCTATATCTCTGTTTTGGTACCAGAACCAAGCTGTTTTGATTACTGTAGCCTTGTAGTATAGTTTGAAGTCAGGTAGCGTGATGCCTCCAGCTTTGTCTTTTTTTGCTTAGGATTGTCTTGGCAATGCAGGCTCTTTTTTGGTTCCATATGAGCTTTAAAGTAATTTTCTCCAATTCTGTGAAGAAGGTCATTGGTAGCTTGATGGGGATGGCATTGAATCTATAAATTACCTTGGGTAGTATGGCCATTTTCATGATATTGATTCTTCCTGTCCATGAGCATGGAGTGTTCTTCCATTTGTTTGTGTCCTCTTTTATTTCGTTGAGCAGTGGTTTGTAGTTCTCCTTGAAGGGGTCTTCTACATCCCTTGTAAGTTGGATTCCTAGGTATTTTATTCTCTTTGAAGCAATTGTTAATGGGAGTTCAGTCATGATTTGGCTCTCTGTCTGTTATTGGTGTATAGGAATGCTTGTGATTTTTGCACATTGATTTTGTATCCTGAGACTTTGCTGAAGTTGCTTATCAGCTTAAGGAGATTGTGGGCTGAGATGATGGGGTTTTCTAAACACACAATCATGTCATCTGCAAACAGGGACAATTTGACTTCCTCTTTTCCTAATTGAATACCTTTTATTTCCTTCTCCTGCCTGATTACCCTGGCCAGACCTTCCAACACTATGTTGAATAGGAGTGGTGAGAGAGGGCATCCCTGTCTTGTGCCAGTTTTCAAAGGGAATGCTTCCAGTTTTTGCCCATTCAGTATGATATTGGCTGTGGGTGTGTCATAAATAGCTCTTATTATTTTGAGATACGTCCCATCAATACCTAGTTTATTTAGAGTTTTTAGCATGAAGGGCTGTTGAATTTTGTCGAAGGCCTTTTCTCCATCTATTTATCATGTGGTTTTTGTCTTTGGTTCTGTTTATTTGATGGATTATGTTTATTGATTTGCGTATGTTGAACCAGTCTTGCATCCCAGGGATGAAGCCAACTTGATCATGGTGGATAAGCTTTTTGATGTGCTGCTGGATTCGGTTTGCCAGTATTTTATTCAGGATTTTTGCATTGATGTTCATCAGGGATATTGGTCTAAAATTCTCTCTTTTTGTTGTGTCCCTGCCAGGCTTTGGTATCAGGATGATGCTGGCCTCATAAAATGAGTTAGGGAGGATTCCCTCTTTTTCTATTGATTGGAATAGTTTCAGAAAGAATGGTACCAGCTCCTCTTTGTACCTCTGGTAGAATTTGGCTGTGAATCCATCTGGTCCTGGACTTTTTTTGGTTGGTAGGCTATTAATTATTGCCTCAATTTCAGAGCCTGTTATTGGGCTATTCAGGGATTCAGTTTCTTCCTGGTTTAGTCTTGGGAGGGTGTATGTGTCCAGGAATTTATCCATTTCTTCTAGATTTTCTAGTTTATTTGCGTAGAGGTGTTTATAGAATTCTCTGATGGTAGTTTGTATTTCTGTGGGATCGGTGGTGATATCACCTTTATCATTTTTTATGTCATCTATTTGATTCTTCTCTCTTTTCTTCTTTATTAGTCTTGCTAGCGGTCTATCAATTTTGTTGATCTTTTCAAAAAACCAGCTCCCGGATTCATTGATTTTTTTGAAAGGTTTTTTGTGTCTCTATCTCCTTTGGTTCTGCTCTGATCTTAGTTATTTCTTGCCTTCTGCTAGCTTTTGAATGTGTTTGCTCTTGCTTCTCTAGTTCTTTTAATTGTGATGTTAGAGTGTCGATTTTAGATCTTTCCTGCTTTCTCTTGTGGGCATTGAGTGCTATAAATTTCCCTATACACACTGCTTTAAATGTGTCCCAGAGATTCTGGTTATGTTGTGTCTTTGTTTCCTTGGTTTCATATAACATCTTTATTTCTGCATTCATTTCGTTATGTACCCAGTAGTCATTCAGGAGCAGGTTGTTCAGTTTCCATGTAGTTGAGCGGTTTTGAGTGAGTTTCTTAATCCTGAGTTCTAATTTGATTGCACTGTGGTCTGAGACACAGTTTGTTATAATTTCTGTTCTTTTACATTCGCTGAGGAGTGCTTTACTTCCAACTATGTGGTCAATTTTGGAAAAGTGTGATGTGGTGCTGAGAAGAATGTATATTCTGTTGATTTGGGGTGGAGAGTTCTGTAGATGTCTAGTAGGTCCGCTTGGTGCAGAGCTGTGTTGAAGTCCTGGATATCCTTGTTAACTGTCTGTCTCGTTGATCTGTCTAATGTTGACAGTGGGGTGTTAAATCTCCCATTATTATTGTGTGAGAGTCTAAGTCTCTTTGTAGGTCTCTAAAGACTTGCTTTATGAATCTGGGTGCTCCTGTATTGGGTGCATATATATTTAGGATAGTTAGCTCTTCTTGTTGAATTGATCCCTTTACCATTATGTAATGGCATTCTTTGTCTCTTTTGATCTTTGTTGGTTTAAAGTCTGTTTTATCAGAGACTAGGATTGCAACCCCTGCTTTTTTTTATTTTCCATTTGCTTGGTAGATCTTCCTCCATCCCTTTATTTTGAGCCTATGTGTGTCTCTGCACGTGAGATGGGTTTCCTGAATATAGCACACTGATGGGTCTTGACTTTTTATCCAATTTGCCAGTCTGTGTCTTTTAATTGGGGCATTTAGCCCATTTACATTTAAGGTTAATATTGTTATGTGTGAATTTGATCCTGCCATTATGATGTTAGCTGGTTATTTCGCACGTTAGTTGATGCAGTTCCTTCCTAGCATCGACGATCTTTACAGTTTGGCATGTTTTTGCAGTCGCTGGTACTGATTGTTCCTTTCCATGTTTAGTGCTTCCTTCAGGAGCTCTTGTAAGGCAGGCCTGATGGTGACAAAATCTCTCAGCATTTGCTTGTCTGTAAAGGATTTTATTTCTCCTTCACTTATGAAGCTTAGTTTGGCTGGATATGAAATTCTGGGTTGAAAATTCTTTCCTTTAAGAATGTTGAATATTGGCCCCCACTCTCTTCTGGCTTGTAGAGTTTCTGCTGAGAGATCCGCTGTTAGTCTGATGGGCTTCCCTTTGTGGGTAACCTGACCTTTCTCTCTGGCTGCCGTTAACATTTTTTCCTTCATTTCAACCTTGGTGAATCTGACAATTATGTATCTTGGGGTTGCTCTTCTCGAGGAGTATCTTTGTGGTGTTCTCTGTATTTCCTGAATTTGAATGTTGGCCTGCCTTGCTAGGTTGGGGAAGTTCTCCTGGATAATATCCTGAAGAGTGTTTTCCAGCTTGGTTCCATTCTCCCCATCACTTTCAGGTACACCAGTCGGACATAGATTTGGTCTTTTCACATAGTCCCATATTTCTTGGAGGTTTTGTTAGTTTCTTTTTATTCTTCTTTCTCTAAACTTCTCGCTTCATTTCATTCGTTTGATCTTCAATCACTGATACCCTTTCTTCCACTTGATCAAGTCGGCTACTAAAGCTTGTGCATGTGTCACGTAGTTCTCGTGCCATAGTTTTCAGCTCCATCAGGTCATTTAAGGTCTTCTCTATGCTGTTTGTTCTAGTTAGCCATTTGTCTAATCTTTTTTCAAGGTTTTCAGCTTCTTTGCAATGGGTTCGAACATCCTCCTTTAGCTCGGAGAAGTTTGTTATTACCAATCTTCTGAAGCCTACCTCTGCCAGCTCGTCAAAGTCATTCTCTGTCCAGCTTTGTTCTTTTGCTGGCGAGGAGCTGTGATCCTTTGGAGGAGAAGAGGCGCTCTGATTTTTAGAATTTTCAGCTTTTCTGCTCTGATTTCTCCCCATCTTTGTGGTTTTATCTACGTTTGGTCTTTGATAATGGTGACCTACAGATGGGGTTTTGGTGTGGATGTCCTTTTTGTTGATGTTGATGCTATTCCTTTCTGTTTGTTAGTTTTCCTTCTAACAGTCAGGACCCTCAGCTGCAGGTCTGTTGGAGTTTGCTGGAGGTCTACTCTAGACCCTGTTTGCCTGGGTATCACCAGTAGCGGAGGCTGCAGAACAGCAAATATTGCAGAACAGCAAATGTTGCTGCCTGATCCTTCCTCTGGAAGCTTCATCTCAGAGGGGCACCCGGTTGTATGAGGTGTCAGTCAGCCCCTAGTGGGAGGTGTTTCCCAGTTAGGCTACTCGAGGGTCAGGGACCCACTTGAGGAGGCAGTCTGTCCATTCTCAGATCTCAAACTCTGTGCTGGGAGAACCACTGCTCTCTTCAAAGCTGTCAGACAGGGATATTTAAGTCTGCAGAAGTTTCTGCTGCCTTTTATTCAGCTATGCACTACCCCCAGAGGTGGAGTCTACAGAGGCAGGTAGGCCTCCTTGAGCTGTGGTGGGCTCCACCCAGTTCGAGCTTCCCAGTCGCATTGTTTACCTAGTCAAGCCTCAGCAATGGTGGATGCCCCTCCCCCAGCCTCGCTGCTGCCTCGCAGTTCGATCTTGGACTGCTGTGGTAGCAGTAAGCAAGGCTCCATGGGCATGGGACCCGCCAAGCCAGGCACGGGATATAATCTCCTGGTGTGCCATTTGCGAAGACTGTTGGAAAAGTGCAGTATTAGGGTGGGAGTGTCCCGATTTTCCAGGTACTGTCCCGATTTTCCAGGTACTGTCATGGCTTCCCTTGGCTAGGAAAGGGAATTCCCCGACCCCTTGTGCTTCCTGGGTGAGGCGATGCCCCACCCTGCTTTGGCTCACACTCTGTGGGCTGCATCCATTGTCCAACAAGTCCCAGTGAGACGAACCTGGTACCTCAGTTGGAAATGCAGAAATCACCCATCTTTTGCATCGCTCACACTAGGAGCTGTAGACTGGAGCTGTTCCTATTTGGCCATCTTGGAATGAAGTTTTTTTTTGTTTGGTTTTTTTTTTTTTTAGACAGAGTCTCGCTCTGTTGCCCAGGCTGGAGTGCAGCAGCACAATCTCAGCTCACTGCAAGTGATTCTCGTGCCTCAGCCTCCCAAGTAGCTGGGATTACAGGTGTGTGCCACCATGCCTAGCTAATTTTTTTTGTATTTTTAGTAGATACAGGGTTTTACCATGTTGGTCAGGCTGGTCTTGAGCTCCTGATCTCAGGTATCCACCTGCCTCAGCTTCCCAAAGTACTGGGATTACAGGCGTGAGCCAATGTGCCCGGCCCAGTGAGCATCTTTATGACCATTATTTTGAATTCTCCCTGTGGTAAATAATTTATCTCCATTTCATTAGGGTCAATCTCTGGAGATTTGTCTTTTTCTTTTGTTTAGAACACATTTTTATGTTTCTTTACTTTTCTTGACTCTGTATTGGTTTCCGCACATTAAACAACCACCTCTCCCAGTCTTCACAGACTGGCCTAATATAGAAGAAACTTACCAGTCAGTCCAGCCATAGGTACTGAATGCCTCTCAAATCTTTTTTTTTTTTTTTTTTTTTTTAATTTGGAGATGCAATCTTGCTGTTTTGCTCAGGCTGGAGTGCAGCGGCGCAATCTCGGCTCATTGCAACCTCCACCTCCTGGGTTCAAGCAATTCTCCTGCCTCAGCCTCCCAAGTAGCTGGGACTACAGGTGCATGCCACCATACCTGGCTAACTTTTTTTGTATTTTAGTAGAGACGGGGTTTCACCATGTTACCCAGGCTGGTCTCGAACTCCTGAGCTCAGGCAATCCACCTGCCTCAGCCTCCCAAGCCTCTCAAATCTTTATGGTCATACAGACCATCATCTTTGTTCTTAGTGACCCCCAGAAGACTAGAGTATGCCAAGTCCCATTAGTGTCCTGAAACAGTCAAGACAGGAGCCAGTCCCTCCTGTAGCAGCTGGAAAAGTTGGGATGTTAGGTGTGTAGTCCAATCCTTTCTCTCCTCAAGTAGAAGCTGTGACCTGGAGTTTATCATCATTTGCTCAGCACTGAGCCAGGAAGGGTAGCTGGGGCGAATTCCTGCACTCTCAAAGTGGACACTTTTCAAACCATTGCTTTGCTGTCTGTCACCTCCAGGGGCCTAGCAAATGCTGGCAGATAACTCTGAGAGACAGGCAGTTTAGCTGGAGGCTTGTTTCTGTCTCTGGAGTGAGCCCCGGGAAGGAACTGCAGGAGGTGCCCACACACCTATTCAGGCTCCCAGAAGACTACTAGATTGCCTGCCCTGTCACCTCCTAGATGCAGGCTGGTTAGAAGTTAGACCCTCAGGCAGCAGCTGGAAAAGTCTGGATGTTAGATGTGTAGTCTAACTCTTTCCATGGAAAAACTGGGAGCTGGGCATTATTGCCTGCTCTGTCTGCACGGAGCCAGAGGGAATAGCCTGTGGAAATATTCCTGTACCCATTTAAAACCATCTTTTTGTTTTCTGTGGTCCCTGGGGACTTGAGAATGGTGAGCCTCATCATCTCTCAGAGCTAGGTGATTTAGAAGCTAGCCCCTCAGGTGCTAACTGTAAAAGTTAGGGGAGTAGATGTGTAATCCAAATTCTTTGCTCTTTATGGAGATGTTGGGAGTTGGGGGTTCCCTACCAATTATAAGGCACTGTGTCCAGGGTTAGATTTATGGCACTAGTGTGTCTCAGCTGCAATGTGGTTATTATCTCAGTTGCCCACTAGGTAGGAGTCTCTCAACTAGTTTCTGGATTTCTCTCAAAGGGAATTAATTCATGTCTCAGTGTTTATTCTGTGTGTTTGTGGGAGGAAGGAAAGTTAGGAGCCTCCTATTCCACTGTCTTGCTGGTGTCCTGTTTGTTTTGTTTTCTAATTACCATTTGCCATGTATATGTGGGTATGATGTGTCAAAAAAAATAACTGTTGGTTGGGCATGGTGGTTCATGCCTATAATCCCAGCACTTTGGGAGGCCGAGGCTGGCGGATCACTTGTGGACAGGAGTTCGAGACCAGCCTGGCCAATATGGCAAAACCCCGTCTCTACTAAAAATACAAAAAAAAAAAAAATACAAAATTAGCTGGGTGTGGTGGAGCGCGTCTGTAATCCCAGCTACTTGGGAGGCTGAGGCAGGAGAATTGCTTGAACCTGGGAGGCCGAGGTTGCAGTGGGCTGGAGATCGCACCACTGCATTCCAGCCTGGGTGACAGAGCAAGACTCCAAAAAAAAAAAAAAAAAAAAAGAAAGTGAACTTGGATTGATTGTAAATATCTATTGCAAACACAAGAACAATCACCAAAAAGGTTTAAAAAGGGAAGTATAATTGATATGTTAAGAAAGGATAAAAATGGAATCTTACAAAATAAAACCAGAAAAGAGAGGAAAAAGTGGAAGATAAAAAAAAAGAAGAAACAAAGGACAAGGACAATGAATAGAAAACAGTAACAAATATGGTAGATATCAGTCCAGCTATATAATCACTTTAAATGTCAATAGTTTGAATATATCAATTAAAATATAGATAATTAGCTGGGCATGGTGGCATGTTCCTAAAGGCCCAGCAACTCAGGCGAGGCAGGGAGGGACTGAGGCAGGAGGATCTCCTGAGCGAGCCCAAGAGGTCGAGGCTGCAGTGAGCCATGACACTCACCCTGGGCGACAGAGTGAGACCCTGTCTCAAAAACAGAAACAAAAAGAGACTCAATCAGAAAACAAGATCCAACTATCTATATGTTGTCTACCAAAAATCCACTTTAAGACACCTATAGATTAAAAGTAAAGTGATGGAGAAACATATAACATGTTAACACTAATCAAAAGAAGCTTCAGTAGCTAAACTGATATTAGACAAAGTTGACTTCAGATCAAGGATAAAGAGGAGCATTACATTACATTGTAGCATTATAATGATGGAAGAGTCAATCATCCCAGAAGACATACAAACCTTAATGTGTATGCACCTAACAAGAGAGTGTCAAAATATGAGCCTAAAACCAATAGAACTGCAATGAAAAATAGTGTATTAGGGATGGAGACTTCAACACCCATCTAACAGTAATTGACAGATCCAGCAGGCAGAAAATTAGTAAGGATATAGCAGAACTGAACAGCACCATCATTCCACTGGATCTAATTGACATCTATAAACTATTACATTCAAAACAAAATTCCATTCTCAAGCTCACATAAAATATTCATCAAGATAGACTACATTCTGGATCATAAAACACACTTTAACAAATTATAAGACTAGAAATCATACAAAATATGCTATCAGACCACAATAGAATTAAATGAGAAATCAATAACAGAAAGCTAGAAAACTTCAGAATACTTGTAGAATAAACTATACACTTCTAAATAACACATAGATCAGAGAAGAAGTTTTAAGAGAAATTTGAAATTTAAAAATAGCTCAAACTAAATAAAAATTAAGATACAGCTTATAAATTTGTAGGATGCAGTGAAAGCAGTGCTTAGAGGGAAATTTATAGTACTGAATGCACATATTAGAAAAGAAAAATCTAAAATCAGTAATTTAAGTTTCCACTTAGAAGACTAGAAAAAGAAGAATACATTTCAACCCAAAGTAAGCAGAAGAAAAGAAATAAAAATTAGAGCAAAAGCCAATGAAATTGAAAAGAGGAAATAGAGAAAAATCAACAAAACCAAAAGCTAATTCTTTCAGAAGATCAAAAAACTTGAAAAAACTCTCGCCAGGTTAACTAAGAGAAAAAGAAGACACCAATTACTAATATCAGAAATGAAAGAGGGGTCATCACTATTTATTCCATGGATATTAAAGGGATAGTAGAGAAATATGAGCAACTGTGCTCACGAATTTGATAACCTAGATGAAATGATCTAATTCTATGAAAGACACAATCTACCAAAACTCACACAAGGAGAAATAGGCCTATGTCTATTTAAAAATGGAATTAATAATATCTCAGGCAATTAGAACAGGCCTGTAGCTATTTAAAAATGGAATTAATAATATCTTGCCCAAAGAGAAAAACCAGGCCCAGACGGATTCACTGGTGAATTCTACCAAACATTTAAGGAAGAAATTATACCAATTTTCTATATCCTCTTCCAGAAAATAGATGCACGGTAAATGTTTCCTAACTCATTCTAGGAGGACAACATTGCCCTAATACCAAAACCAGACACAGATGTTACAAGAAAGGAAAACAACAGACCAGTGTCTTTCATAACACAGATGCAAAAATTCTGAATAAAATATTAGCAAATTGAATCCAACAATGTATAAAAAAAAATACACTATGACCAAGTGGAATTTATTCCAGGTATATAAGGTTGATTCCACATCCAGAATCAATATATCACACCAATAGGCTAAAGAAGAAAAATTATATAATCATATTAATAGATACAGAAAAGTATTTGACAAATTTGAGATAATTATGGTCTCTCAATTTTTAAATTTTTATTATTATTCTTTTTTGAGACAGAGTGTCACAAAAGATTGCGATCGTGGCTTACTACAGCCTTCCCCTCCCAGTTCAAGTGATTCACGTGCCTCAGCCTCCCGAATACCTGGGATTACAGGCATGCGCCACCCACGCCCGGCTAATTTTTGTATTTTTAGTAGAGATGGGGTTTCACTATGTTGGCCAGGCTGGCCTGAAACTCCTGGCCTCAAGTGATCCACTGGCCTTGGTCTTCCAAAGTGTTGGGATTACAGGCGTGAGCCACTGCGCCCGGCCTCATTTCATCTTAATCTTGATAAAAATTTATAATTTTTCTAGCAATGTAGAGGAAATAGAACTGTGATTTATTATACATGATTTACACAAGTGAATGATCCATGTGTTTGTTTTTTTCTTTTTCAAATTTTTATCCTTTCTTCACTCTGCATATACATCCCAGGATGCCTGTCCCCTCAGTGCTATGTTTATGTCATCAGTGTTTGACAGAAGAGAGTGTCTTGGGTAAGGGTGTCCAATCGTCATTCTTATCAGGCTAACTGTCCTGAAGAACTGTTGTTCTATTGTTTGGGTTTTCTTGCTATGAATTTATACTCATCATTTTATTTGCATTTGACTTTGTTGGTAGATAACATAGAGAATGAACTCTTGATCTGCTTGACAGTTTTATATTTTGCTATAAATTAACAAAATGCCATTTTTATTACAGTTTGACTTTTAGTGCAGCTTCCCTGTGAGCAAAGAATGTATAGACCTGCAACTCTAGTGTTGCAAACACCTTGACAATTTTATTTCACAGTGAAAATTTATGGATTTGTAATCTACTTGGTATCTGTGTGGTTGGTTAATGCACTCTTAAGAGATAGCCTCACTTAGTTTGTTGATAAAATCATATATCAGAGCTTATGAGAGAGAACCAGAAGTGACATCACTAAGGAAACTGCCTATGCAGCCACTGCCGTTCTCCAAGAGGCATCACCTCTGTCTCATTGAGCAACACCTGGAAATTTCTATCTCAAGAGAGTGCTGTAAGGCATAAATAAGGTGATTTATATAAAATGCCTGGAATAATACTTATTAAGTAACATTTTATTATTATTATTCATATATTTCCTTCCTTGTAAGCTAGCCATCTAAGCCTGTCAGAGATTGTATATTGAGCACGGAATGATAGCAAGGGGAGTCCCATAACTCATGGTACTAGGTTTCACTAATGGAAAACATCAATCCCTAGAAAGAGATCTTCATGCAAGTAATACATATCTGGGTCTCCCGCGCAGACATCTGCTGGACAGCGACCCAGCGCCGCACAGGCGCTCATGGCCCGGCTCCACGGCTGCGGGTGGCGAGTCCCTGCCGCTGTCCGGCGCTCGCCTTCTCACTCAAATGAAAATTACTGGAACATGATGTTATTTGGTATTCAGTTACACAAAGCTGAGTGTAATTGATTGGTTAATAGTAAAAGTTTTGATATCAGTAAAATAGTTGAATTATTCTAAACCATAACTTTGTAGCTACATGATTTGGGTGAGATGATTTTTTTTTTTTTTTTTTTTTTTGAGAAGGAGTCTTGCTCTGTCACCCAGACTAGAGGGCAGTGGTGTGATCTTGGCTCACTGCAACCTCCTCCTCATGGGTTCAAGTGATTCTCCTGCCTCAGCCCCCCGAGTAGCTGGGATTACAGGTGTGCACCACCATGCTGGACTGGTTTTGTACTTTAGTAGAGATGAGGTTTCACCATGTTGGCCAGGCTGGTCTCAAACTCCTGATCTCAGGCGATCCACCTGCTTTGGACCCCCAAAGTGCTGGGATTACATGAGCTAGCCACCACACCCTGCCTGAGATGATATTTTTGAGCCACAGTATTCCCATCAGTAAACCAGATATACTAATTGTAATTTCAGGTATTTTTGTGACACATATATTATTGAAATTATTATTATTAAATTACTGACTTTAATAATACATTCTTAAATTAGTTATTATTATAATAACATAAATAATATTGAAAGCAGTTTATAAACTTGCGTGGTGCTAGGGGGCACTACAATGTAAAGGAATTTATGTAATAACAAAAGTAAAGATGCAACGTTTGATTTTATTTTTCATGTTTTGTAATGCAAAAATTAACTGTCCTTTTATTTAAATTACAGCACATGCAAATTAACTTTTAGGTATATAATTATTCTGAATTATTTCAGAAAATTATTATGGTCTCATCACTGGATTAAAAAATGTAATAATATTCTCAGTTTAAAGAAAATGCACAGGTTTTAAATCCTCTGTGATAAGGGCCCATGAACTTGGAGCTGCTGATTTTTTTTTTTAATTTGCAGGGTTTTTACATAACAAATTATCAGAAACCAAAGCACCCAGATATCAGACTATGAATAGAAAACATCTTTCCTGAACAAGTACAGGCTTTATTACTTAATTGTATTTACACTGATGAGTGCGCACAAAGAAAAATCAATTTGTGGGAGTTTATTTCATTGGTATTGAAATTGTATCTTCCTTGAAAAACTTGGCACAAAGTGCCTAGTTTGTATCCCAGTTCATTATATTATTATTTTACTATATTCTGTGCTGTTATGTAGTTTTATATGGGCTCACTAGTTGAGTGTTCAAAATTGCTTTTCTAAACTATAGAATATTAACTTCCAGTATTTACCAAAAAAACTTATTTATTAAAAAAATCCCAATAAAAGGGCATAAAATAAATATAAATACTCAACATTTTCAAGGTTCTTCTGGAATCATTCTGAAAGCATTAAAAGGAGAGGCTGGAAATCTGCGTTTATAATATTGGTCATTTCCCTACCTACTTAATAGTAACATTAAAGCTTGCTCTGTATGCTTTCTGAAACAAGTAAAAATGTTCTTTTACCTTAACTTATACTGTGGAAAATCTCAAAGGAATGCTAGAAAACCATTCCAATGTACTCACCCAAACAACACAAAATACCCACACCTTCTCCAATTCAAACAATCATTTAATTAATCGAAAGAGCTGAGATGCACTCCCTCTCTACCTCATAAGGGCTTCCATCATGAACTTGATTGTGTCCTAAATTCAGTCCTCCAGGAGAAGCTCATCACCCTCCCCATGTCCTGAATGTCAGAATCCAAAGCTGGAAACTTCATCCTACTTAATCTTTATGTTTTTTGAAAAAGTTTATCTTTCTTCCCAGGAATAAAAACATCTATTCTCTGAGGCACATGTAAGCATTTATCCTTCAGTATAATGAACTTTTTTAGTCACACTGTTAATGACAAGCTTACATAAATTTTTTTCTGCTCCCACCTTCAAAGCTCCAAGCCCTGTATTCTTACAGGATGATATTCATAAACTATTCGACCTTAGCTTCCCTCCACTTAAGCCTTTCTTGCTCAGAATCACTCCTTTTATTAGTTATCTGTTGATGCTTAACATATTACCTCCAAAACTTAGTGGATTAAAACAACAAACATTCATTATGCCAACTTCTCTGGGTCAAGAACTATATCAGAATTAGTAAGGCCCTCTAGCTCAAGGACTCTCATAAGGCTGCCATCATTTAAAAGCCTTACTTAGGGAAGATTCACTTCTAAGATTAATCATGTGGCTGGGGGCAGTCCCCAGGACCTTCCTTGCTGGCTGTGACTGGTGACACTGGCTCCGTGCTATGTGGACTTCTTAATAGGCAGCGCCCAACATAGAAGTCAGCTTCCCTTACAATGAAAGAGAGAGAGGATTCCCAAGACAGAAGCCACAGTCTTTGTGCAACCTAATGTTGGAAGTGATATCCATCACTTTTGCCACAGTCTATTTGATAGTGAAGTGAGATAAATTCAACTAGGACGACAGAGTAGAAGATTCCTCAAGGAGTTACCTCTACCAGGGGTACAAGTGACATGGAGCAATTTTAGAGGCTGCTTACCAAACCCATGAAATGTATAATGACAAAACATGATATTCCTCTTAAATGACTAAATAAGCACACCACTCTTTGATCAATCTCCTGTCTGTTCAGTGTGGCAACAATTCCCACTGCAGCTGTTCTCCTGCCTCACTAAGACTTTCAATCCACTGGTGCCTCAGCCTTCGCCTATTGCATTATGATCCTCCTGCGGTCAGTTACTCCCACAAGCAAACTAACAATGGCTCTTCTCAACACTGGCTTTATGTTAGAATTGCCTGAGGAGGTTCCAAAGATACATATGAGTGCCTTGGCCCCAATTGAGATTGGCTGACCCAGTGTCTCTGGGACCTGGCATTCTATTGTGATACTAATATGCAGCAATAGTTGGGAATCAATATTGTAGATTCCGTTACTGAATATTTTAAAATGTAATTGCTAGTAACATAAAACCAGAATTGACATACTGCTTCCCTTGGGCTAAATACAATCCATCACCTATTTTTTAAATAAATTCTTATTGGAATGCAGCCACATTTTCTTATTGTCCATGGTTGCTTTTGCACAACATGGGAGAACTGAGTACTTCCTACAGAGACAACATGGCTCACAAAATAAAAATATTTACTATCTGGCCCTTTGCTTAAAAAAAATTACTGATTTTTGACCTATCCCCTTTCACATCTTCATTTTTCTCTCTCTCTTTCTCTCTCTCTCTCTCTCTCGGTTGCTTTTGGTTTTGTCCTTTTTAGAAGCACATTGCAACCTCTTCTCTAGATGAACTCAACTATCTGATTTCTGCATATTTCTCAGTCCATGACTGCTGCTGAAGAATGTCATGCAAGAAAACAAACTGATAATATTTTAAGACAATGATCACCATTGGAAACCGGGTTTTCAATTTTGCCTGACATAACTTTTTCAATCTCTACAATCCTCTAATTTCTGACACTCTCTTCTCCCTTCTCACTTCTCTCTCTCTGCAGATGACTTTGCTACTGCAACACAGAGACAATATAAGTCTTTATACTCATAGTCTTTCAACTACCTGGCACTAAATCAATATACCTGTCTCCATTTGCAACTATTATCTTTCTCCCTGATCCTGTCAAGATGATCTTACTCTTTGTTGTAGGCTACTTTCCTCCTCTGACTTCAGAATTAGTTCTCACCTGACTTTAAGAGGAAATTTACATTGTTACCAATTTCTCTACTGAAAATCCAACTTTTTATTTCCACGTAGATCCTTCCCATCGTGGTTTCCATGAACTTTATTGTCTCAATGATTGTCATTTTAGATCTATAACTCTTTTTCTGAGCTTTGGGTCTATACAAGCCAAATTTCTGCTCAACAGAGCAACCATATCCCCACCTTAATTGGACAAGTCTCTCCAGAAAATAAATCTCCTATTTCCTGTTGTGTAAAATGAAGAATAATTACTAAGGTATTCAGTAATGATAAAGAATCTGGGAATTTAACTGTTCTTGATATGAAATTTCAAATTACACACTTGTTTTTTTTGGAAGCCAAGCCCACCTCCAGCATTTTATTCCCACACATGATAAGCTTGTCTAAGGTGTGTGTGGTTTGGATGACTTTATATTTTGTTAGCTTTCCTCTTCCCTCTACATATGGACACTATGTTTTGTCAAAAGGAAATGTGTACACTGGATGCTTGTTAAAAATAGCAAGGAAGACTATTCAGGACTATAGCAATGGGGGAATAATATAGCTATAGTAGAGAGAGATTGAACTAAAATTTCTCCCAGCATGGAGCTGGAAATTTATAAGCAAAGAGCTGAGTGAGTGAGTCAGTGGATAGAAACTAATTAGATATTAAGGGTGGCGGGGGGTGGGGTGGCGGGGAGCGGGGTTCTTGCTAAACTGCATTATTGCTAAAGGCATGCCAAAGTGATAAGATATCAAGGGCAAAGTGATTCTCAGTGAACTGGCTTAGCAGGAGTCTTTGCTAAAACTGGGCCTGAGAAGAGGGACTAGAGAAGAATGATTAAACTTTGGTCAAGATGGGAATCTGTCAGTTTTGGCCTTCTCTAATGTATGTGGTTATGCTGCTCGAGAGCTTGCTAAGATGTATTCAAGAAGGCTAGTGTATTAGCTTGTTCTCACACTGCTGCTATAAAGAAACACTTGAGATGGGGTAATTTATAAAGCAAAGAAGTTTAATTGGCTCACAGTTCTGCAGGCTGAACAGGAAGCATAGCAGCATCTGCTTCTGGGGAGGCTGAAGGGAGATTTTACTCATGGCAGAAGGCAAAGTGGAAGCACGAATCTTGCAAGGCAGAAGCAGGACTGAGAGGAAGAGAAAAGGTGCCACACACTTTCACCAACCATATCTCATGAGGATGCTATCATGATACAGCATCAAAGGGGGAAATCTGCCCCCATGATCCAGTCACCTCCCACGAGACCCCACCTCCAACATTGGGGATTACAATTCAGCATGAGATTTGGTAAGGGACACAGATCCAAATCATATCAGCTAGTAATAAAGTGTATTAAGATTTAGGAGTTGATATGGTTTGGCTGTGTCCCCACTCAAAATCTCATGGTGAATTGTAAACCCCATAATCCCCACATGTCAAGGGAGAGACCAGGTGGAGGTAATTGAATCATGGAGGTGGTTTCTCCCAAGCTGTTCTCATGATAGTGAGTGAGTTCTCTCAAGATCTAATGGATTTACAACTGTTTGGCAAGTTCCTCCTTCCATCCTTCTTTTTCCTGCCATTTTGTGAAGAAAGTGCCTGCCTCCCTTTCACCTTCCACTACGATTGTAAGTTTCCTGAGGCCTCCCCAGTCATAGGGAACTGTGAGTCAATTAAACCTCTTTCTTTTATAAATTACTCAGTCTCAGGTATTTTCATATAGGAATGTGAGAAAGGACTAATACAGGAATCTTCAAGGACATCCCATCCAAATTAAAAGTTGTGTATCACTTGCTTCTTTGACCTCATCTATTGTATTAATTACATTTATGTGTATATATATATATGTATACACACACACACACACACACACACATATGCACACATATATATATCAACTTTACTAAATGGTCTCTACATTCTCAGTTTTATTGTTTCATTAGGAAAAGAAATTGGCTGGGATATTGGTAACAGTATATTTCTGCTTATGCTATAATACCCAAGTTGAAACATTTGACAGAAATTGATTGATGCTTGTTACCTGATGTTTTAAAATAAGGGCTAAATAGTTATAGATCTCAATATTATCATTATCCTGGATGTGACAGGGTACAGATGTGACACTGCATGTTTTTATAGTGTGTTCTACTGGTGATTCAAATAACTAAGGTATTGCCATTAGCAACATAATTTTTGTAAATATTGAAAGACTCTTGGAAGTTTCTACAATAAAAAGACTTTTTCTCTTCAATTTCCATAGTGGTTGCATTCTGAAAAATTTAGTTTGTATTAAGCCATTCAAAGTATTTACATGTAAAATATTCATTTCTTGACTAAATAATTACAGATGATCACTTACGTGTCTATCCATTGGGGCATTTGATGGGAATATTTTTTACAATGTAGGATTGCAGGATATCTAGTATTGTTTGTCCTCACATTGGAAATACAATTACTGCCTTCTGATCGTTTTGACAATGGAGACACTCAAGCATTTCTAAACAGAAAAAGCTGGTACAAGCACACTTGAAGCACAATACATCTGAAAGGCACATGAAGAGTTCAATAAAATGTTTAACAACTGAAAAGACTGTAGAAATAAATTTAATTAATCTGTCTATACTAAAATCCAAATATAAATTATATTAGAGTTGCAGCTATTTATTATGCTATTTCAGCATTCACATGCTATTTTCATTTTCTATTCAGATGTTTTTTCCACTGCCAGACACTTTCTAACAAGTCCTTCAAACCCTCTTTATAATAACTTATGAAAATATTTGTTACATTATGCTCAATGATTTCCTCAATTAAAATGATACATAAAATAAGAACAAGTGAGAGAAAAAAACATAGTTTGTGCATCTATTTTGTGATAAATATAGTAGTTAGATCTATTTTATATAAATTTTCTCATTAAACCCACATCAAACTTTTTCTCCTGTATTTTTTAAATGGAAAATGTGAGGTTGATAGGAGTTAATTAACTCTACTAATAGCTGACAGTAATGAAACTATCATTACTGAGAACTATAGTTGGTTTTTACAATTATTTCATTTTTTGTTTGTTTGTTTTTGTTTTTGTTTTTTGAGATGGAGTTTCGCTCTTGTTGCCCAAGCTGGAGTGCAATGGCGTGATCTCAGCTCACTGCAACCTCTGCCTCTTGGATTCAAGTGATTCTCCTGCCTCAGCCTCCTGAGTAGCTGGGATTACAGGCACGTGCCACCACGCCCAGCTAATTTTGTATTTTTGGTAGAAATGGGGTTTCTCCATGTTTGTCAGGCTGGTCTCGAACTCCCAGCCTCAGGTGATCCACCCACCTCCGCCTCCTAACGTGCTGGGATTACGGGTGTGAACCAGCGTGCCCGGCCAATCTATATCTTTTAAGTGTGAAATGCTTTCAGAAAAATATTTCAACCAAAAGGGAGAAATGTGGAAGTTGTGAGCACCAAAATGGAGTCACTTACATCAAACCATAAAAAAATGAAGCTGGGAGGCCATGAAAGAGGGGCCTTCATGTACATATGTCTATAATAAGAACTGCTGCAATGGTTCTCTCAAAAACCACAAAAATGTTAGATATGATAATTCTGTGAAGACATCTCTCCAGCAACAGCCAATATTATCAATGAGTATTTCCCAACTCTTGTAATAAGCTTCTCTGGCCCATGAGGTTTATTACAAAACTTACATAAAATTTCTCTTTTAAGACTTTTGCCTTCCTGATGTGGTTTAGATTTGTGTCCCCACCCAAATCTCATGTCGAATTGTAATCCCCAATGTTGGAGGAGGGGCTTGGTGAGAGGCGATTGGATCATGGGGGTGGATTTCCTCCTTGCTGTTCTTGTGATAGTGAGTTCTCATGAGACCTGGTTGTTGAAAAGTGTGTGGTATCTCCCCTTTGCCCTCTTCCCCCTGCTCCGGCCATGTAAGACATGCCTCCTTCCTTTTTGCCTTCTGCCATCATTGTAAGTTTCCTGGGGCCTCCTCCAATCATGTTTCCTGTAGAGCCTATGAAATCATGAGTCAATTAAACCTCTTTTCTTTATAAATTACCAAGTCTCAGGTAGTTCTTTGTGCTAGAACAAACTAATACAGTCCCTCAGCTTCTTTGGTGCCTAAGGTCCACCATAGCATGTGTATTTCCAATTGCAATTTATTGCTATTTCCTGAATACACTCTTTATTTTAGAGGGTCAGTATCTCTGTTGTTTAAGTTGACATAATCTAATGTCAGAAGCAAGATGCAAAGGCTCCAAGCCTTCTTTGGACTGGCGATACTTGAAATTGTGTATGATACTCACCTGAGCCCATTGTGATCTTCACTTGTACAAGTTGTCTTTATGCTGCGAGATAAGTCCTCTCTTGGTTTGAGCTCCTACCTTTTCAGTGAACTCTTACATTTTGGGGGATCTGCTCTTGTAAAGGACATCCTTTCTGGTGAGTATTCTTTTGGTTTAATTTTTGGTTTGGTTATTTATGCATGAATTTAATCTCATTAGGAAACAAGTTAAGTTGAAAAGACCAACTAGTGAACTAAATCAGTCTCCAAAATATATGTTTTTGGCATTTACCTGTTTATTTTGAAACTCTTTGTAAGAAATGTAAACCTGTAATGATAATCTCTGCTTTGTAAGGATATCTCCCTCTCTGACACCTAAAACACTAGATGCTTTCACAAAGCAAAAGGAGAGACCTAAATCTATCTATCTGTGTAAACTCACCCTTGACCATTTCATTTTGAATGCTTCCTATATATGCTTTTTTTCATCTCAACAAATAGTGTTGTTTAAGTTCTGTACCTTTGAGATTTAAATTTTCTACATTCCTTCACCTAAAAATCATCTCTTTGGAAGTACAAATTTTGGGTGGCCTAACTAACACTTGTTTATGGGCCAGTTGAACAGATCATTAAAAGACAGATAGTCTGAAAGAGGGAGTAAAACTATTTGCAAGCCAGGCAAATAACAATTCTTAATGCAAGTTGTAAGTTCTTCCTCTGTCTGTATTTTTCTACGTGTGTGTGTGTGTGTATGTATAATTTTTTTCTACCAAAATTCATAAACCGCTCTACTTAATTGGCTTACAGAGAAAACATAAGTGTTTAAAGTAAGAATTCTCTCAGAAAAACAGAAACTCAATTGCCTTTTGGCTTATGTGATGAAATAATCTTTGGCAGATAAAGCTAGTTTTAAAATTTGTTGGCAAAATAAAAACAAATATTTTCAGAATTGTCAGCATTAATTACAATGTACAGATACAGTTTTTATACCTAAAGTTACTAGTGAAACAAGCTTGCTATTACTGAGATGTATAATGAATGTCTTAAAGCTATAAATCCACTCATAGTTGTGTTTAAGGAGGAACTGAAGCACAATTGTTAAGAACAAGTGAATTAGGTGAATATAAATTGACAAAAGGTTTATAATAAAGTCAGAATTTCAAAAATAATTTAGTGTGACTTGAAATCTTAAAATCATGTTATATTAAATTAAGTAACACTTTACTGATTTAATATTTGAGTCATTTCTAAGGAAAATACTGAAATATCAATTGCTTAACAGAAGTTTAAAATATATGTAATTTGGCATCTTGGTTTCACATGTTATGGAAAAGCTAAACATATTTGGGTCTGGTAATTAAAGGCATAAAAATTATTTTATGAGATGGTGTTCATCTGTAGAATACTAACATGATGCACTTCAAAATGCTTACTAATTTTCACTAGAAATTAAGGTTACTAAGAGTTAATTAATATTAGAGTAATTTAAACTAGAAATAATGAAGGGAAACAAATCTGTATGTGAGGGAAGGAAAACACATAAAGAAAGTTATAAGTAAGAGGTTGTGTTTTTGTTAAGGGAAAAAGAGAGTATTTTTTGTCTAAAAGTAGAATGTCTTATTGTTCCAAAAGGAAAAAGAGAAAAAATATAGACAAAAACTGAATAAGATAACTGGATGACAAATTTATAGAAAGTTTGTGGAAGATTAATCTTGTGAAAAGAATTTCATGTGTGACCAAGTTGTCTAAAGTTAAAAGGAAATTATTTATAAATAGTTCTGAAAACTTGAGCATTATTATCAAAAGTACAGGAATGGAAAACTTGAAATTTGTCCCCTGTGCTAAAACAACAAGGTTTTCTTTGAGTATTGACCTGCTCTTAATAGAAAATAGTGAAATGTTTTCTCTACCTTTTAGATAACTGGCCTAATAAACCAAGATTTTTTGTTTATCAAGGTAATTTCTTATGCTTTATGCTCTCTTTTATTAGGTCTTTGATTACTTGAGAAAAGTGAGTGAGGTGGGGCCAAGATGGTTGACTAGAAGCAGCTAGTGTGTGCCACTCTCACAAATAGCAGAAAGAGTGGTGAGGTGAGTAGACACTAGCTCTTCAACCGGAACATCCAGATGGACACATAGGATTCATCAGTGACATAGTGTGACCTTCGGATCACGGAGAAGAGTGAGACAGATCAACCATTCACCCAGGAGTGGCACAGACCCAGGGGAATCCCCCTACAAGAAAATGGTGAGTGAGTGAGAGTCCCGTGGGATGCATATTTCTGCCACGAACCTTTGAATCCCTGGGCTCAGGAGATACCCCAACTGGGGTCTCCAGACCAAAACAGAGAGCCATGTGGAGTCTGGGTAGAGCTGCTTCTTAGGTAGGTGTGGAGTCCCAGTAGCATTTGTTCCCTGGGTACCCCAAAACCAGGGGCTGCAGCTCCAGCAATTGGGAAGGCCAAGTTTTCTTGCATGCTCCCCAGAAAAGGGGCCAAGTCCATGGGGCTGAGCAGTGATAGACTGCAGACCTCACCACCACTGAACCTTGTAGGATAAGGCCCACTAGCCTGGGATGCTAGTGAGGCCACCCTAGTCCTCCTGAGTTCTCCAGCTGGGAGCAGCTCTACACTTCTCCGGCATGAAGCTCCCAGAGAGAGAGGCAGTCCACCTTTTTGCTGTCTCGCAACCCTCCCTCCTGCTGCTCTCAGGCTTGGGAGGGTGCACAGCAATTAGGGACTATCACAGAACCCCAGCACAGTGCATCTGGTGAACTTAAAAAAATCAACAAGTGAAAAACAAACAATCCCATTTAAACGTACACAAAGTACATGAATGGACACTTTCAAAGGAGGGCATACATGTGGCCAGAAAGCATATGACAAAATGCTCAACATCACTAATCATTAGAGAAATGCAAATCAAAACCATAATGAGATACCATCTCACACCAATGAGAATGGCTATTATTAAAATCTCAAAAAATAAGAGATGCTAGTGAGGTTGTGGAGAAAAGGGAATGATTATACAGTGATGGTGGGAATGTAAAGTAGTCGAGCCATTGTGGAAAGCAGTGTGGCAATTTCTCAAAGAACTCAAAGCAGAAGTGCCATTCAACTCATCAATCCTACTATTGAGTGTATACCAAAAGAAATACAAATCATTCTACCATAAAGACACATGCACGTGTATGTTCACTGCAGCACTTTTCACAATAGCAAAGACATGGAATCAACCTAAATGCTCATCAGTGGTAGACTGGATGAAGAAAATGTGGTAGATATACAACATGGAATACTATGCAGCCGTAAAAAGAATGAGATCATCTCTTTTCCAGCAACATGGGTGGAGCTGGAGGCCATTATCCTAGAAAACCCAATACCATATGTTCTCACTTATAAGGGGAGCTAAACATTGAGTACATATGGACACAAATGGAACAACAGACACTAGGGCCTACTTTAGAGTGGACGGAGGAAGGAGGATGAAAATTAAAAAATTACCTACTGGGTACTATGCTTATTATCTGGGTTATGAAATAATCTATACACCAAACCCCGTGACTCACAATTTACCTATATAAATGCGTTAAGTAACTCACATGTGTACCCCTGAACCAGAAATAAAAGTTAAAAAAAAGAGAAAAGTAAGTGTTCTCAGTATTAAAAACCTATGTTTTTGTTGACAATTATGTAAATTTCTACATTTATTTTTTGAAATCTTTTAATTTTCATTTTGGTTACCTGTTATTGTACTCTGACAAAGTGTTTTAAACTGTTTGATGTTTTTGACAAACTTCCCAAAATAATATTTTAAATTAACTCTTTTTGCCCTCAAGTTAATTTTGATATTTCTCATTTGGACCCCTGGAAAGATCAAAGAATGTGTATCTCACATTGTAAAGAGATATATTAAACTAATAAGACTTACTTGATATATTAAATTATATAGGGAGTATTGTCAAATACTAAGTGGTGCTAAACCTTCTTTAAGTTGTATTTCAGAATGTTATTGATATGTGTTACAAAATTATATTAAATTCTTCAAAATCTGATATGTTATCGGTCATAATCTTGGTTATTATCTTCAAGTTTTGTATGCCACAGAAATAAACAAATTTCTTTGTCAATTACATTATTATTATAATAAACTCCATGAGATTTTTAACCATGGCCACTCTAAGTCTGTCATCCACAGGGACTGATTGCTTTCATTCTTTTCTAAAAGCATTTGCAATCAGCTACAATAAAAAATTGCCTCTTCTCTGAAACTGATGATCCATTAAGGTTTAACCCATATACTCCTCTATATACCTCTACAGCCTCCCCAAATCAAGTTGATATATTCCCCTAGCAGTCTGTGCAATGGAGACCAACATTAAATTCTTTTAGATTGTTTTAAATTACATTTTTGAACTTCCAGTTTATTACATACCAAGAGTTCATTACAACCTCCTTGTTTCGTAAGTGGAAGCTATGTTAGGGTTGGATGTGGGTGCCATAATTTCTTCAAGGATCCTGGACAGAGACCCACATCAGGATCAGAAACCCTATGATAGCATTACAGATCTCAGGGCTCAATAATCCTTGAAGATTATAATTTTCATCCTATCAGTTGGACTTTCTGTCACTTTTCCTGCATTAAGTCTCCTGGTATCAAACAGAGCTCTGTGGTGTCACTGACTGAGGAATGGAATAGAGATGTCCACGAGGGGTCTTGATATCATTACTGCACAGAGATGTGAAAGGAGAGACCACTTCCTCACCACCCAGCTACTTCACTTCTCTCCCGGTATCAGCCCTATAGTTGGACCTAGGCTTTCAGAAGTGTAAGTGTGCAAACAAGTTTGGGTTGGACTTTAAGAGGACACTTTGTCATAGAAGAAAATCCAGTATCTCTAAGCTGGTTTTCTTTTCAGGAAAACATCCTGAGGGACCAGTAAGCAGGGAGATCCTTTTTCTAGTTTGCCTGTAGAGTTAGGAAGACAGTTGATTTTTCAGTCTTTCACAGGATGCTTAAACAAAGCTGTGTAATTACATAAGGTCAATCTTTATCTTGCCTAAGAAGATAAAGTGGGAATCTTCACTCCGCCAGGGCAAATTTCCAAGGAGCTCATTTATTCCATGTCTTTCAAACTTTCATGTGATACATTTCTCTTTCACATTGTTGCTGATTTCCAAATAGCTGTCAGCTAGTTTTTTTCTCCCCCTTGCCTATTCTTCACTATTTTGATAGCAAAGCTCATAGAATTAGGGGACTTAGAAGATGCTTTGTAAACATCGCCACAAAGGAACTGCTGAAATGATTCACAGGAAGACTGGTCAGTTGGGAGAAAGATCCTAAAGATGTTACACTGGTTTTCAACAACATGCTTAGAGAATTCTTGAAGCAGATAGGTGTCAACCCAGTGAAAACAACATTTTGATTTTTTTTTTTAAGTTTATGGTGATTGTGTAGGTTTCTAAAATAAGCAAATATTCAAGTCAAGAGATGTTTTGTTTTTTCTTCTGCCAAGAATGGGGTTAGGGGAGCAAAGACACAATTTGGGAAAGGACATATGTGCTATTATAGGGATCACCTTTAAGTTTCTGGGAAGGAATGGGCACGGGTGAGTAGGTTGGCTCAACATTGTCCTGCACTGCTCATTAGGACCTGAGACATGCAAGGGAAATGTGGGTGACATCAGGGCACCCAGGGCACAGCCCCACTAACTGCTGTGCTGAGTTTCTGTAGCCTGCCATGTTTCCCTTGGTGAAGTAAATGAGGATCAAGGAGTCATTTAATGATGTCCTGGTGCTGAGAATAATAAATGTCTTGTTACAAACAGATGTAACAATAGTTTTTTTCTGGATTATTATCAGGGTGGTCAGCTCTGGATTAAGCCACCCACATCCAATTTGTACAATAATATTGATACATAGGGCTACACTTATTACTGCTGAAGCATTCTATTTTAATAATTGTGTTTTACTTCTAAAGGTTAAATAAAAGCAAAAAATGGTGCTAAACTATCAAACTGTTCCCCTATTTGTTTTCTCCAGTGTGTAACATATATATGTATATATTTTATTTTATTGAAGATGCAGTAGGATACCTGCCATTTAAGAAAATAAATAGAAAATTTAAAATCCCAACAAATGAGAAAAAGAAATTCAGTACCCAAGAATAGGGCTGGTCCAGCACCACCCCGAACTAGGCTGTGGTTTATGGAGTGAAGAGCCTTGCTCCCTTTACATTCGCTCATGCTCCCACACAAGGCTAGCAGTAGAAATGCTTGAATTCTGCTTGGCTTGCCAAGGGGACTCAGGAGTCAACCAAGGGAACTATTTGGCTCCACGAGGAATGGACACCTCAGGATGCTTCCTGAACAGGGCCTAGTCAGGAAGTAGCCTGGATGTGTATAGTCACGGTCACCTCATGAAAATGTGTGGCAGGTGGCTCTCAGGAAAAACACCAAGTCTGGATCATCTGTGTGGCAGCTTTGCCTGGGGAGGTAACAGCTCCAAATTGAAACTGAACTGCATCCTACATGCTTTACCAAAGCAGTGATGAGAGTGATCAGTGCATGTGGTGTGAGTGGTAGGTTTAAAAAAAAAGGGAATGTTTTACGCTCAGTGTTTCCTTTGTGTTTGGGCTACTCAATCTGGACAATAGGTAACCATTCTTTTCAAGGAATCAACCCAACTTTGCTGGCTTGGTTTGTGGTTTGTTTCATCCCTAGCTATGAGCATGTTTTGGTCTATAAACTTGGCTTGTCTCATAACACATTCCCTTTCTGTAATTTTTTAAATTTTTTACTTCCATAGGTTTTTGGAGAACATGAGGTATTTGGTTACATGAGTAAGTTCTTTAGTGGTGATTTGTGAGATTTTGGTGCACACATCACCCGAGCAGTATACACTGAACTCAATTTGTAGTCTTTTACCCCTCATGTCTTTCCCACTCTTTCCCTTGAGTCCCCAAAGTCCACTGTATCATTCTTATGCCTTTGCATCTTCATAGCTTAGCTCCCACTTAAGAGTGAGAACATACAATGTTTGGTTTTCCATTCCTGAGATACTTCACTTAGAATAATAGTCTCCAATCCCATCCAGGTTATTATGAATGCCATTAATTCATTCCTTTTTATGGCTGAGTAGTATTCCATCACATATATGTATTTATGCATATATATATATACATATGCATCGCATACACACACACACACACACACACACACACAAATATATACCACAGTTTATTCACTCATTGATTCACGGGCATTTAGGCTGGTTCCACATTTTTGCAATTGCTAATTGTGCTGTTATAAACGTGCATGTGCAAGTATCTTTTTTGTGTAATGACTTCTTTTCCTCTGGGTAGATAACCAGTAAGATTGCTGGATCAAATGGTAGTTCTACTTTTATGAATTGTCCTTGTTTTTCTTTAAAAGTTAATACTTTTGATCACTATAGTTTGTTAGTGTTGGATTGTTTCCACTTTGAAATTTCTAAACTTTTTCCCTTCATAATGTTAAAACAAGTTATGTTAGATGCCCTTTCAACATGAAAGGTTTGTAGTTAAGATATTACATATATTTTATTGTTTATAATAAAAATCTAGACAAAAGAAGTGCCCAGTGTTAATTATAATATTTTGCACAGTATCTTTTTTCCCATGATGTGTTAATATCTACAATTTCATTAAATGTTGATGTTATTTTCTATTGAGATTCAGAAGCCTAGGGAGCTATGTGTTCATTTTGGTTATTTTTGTTGTTATTTCCCTGAAGCAAAAGACTACATGGCCTTCAGTGCAACAACCTCAGTCCAATTCTGAAGTTTATTATACTTGCTTGCCTCTTGGCTATTTAACTTCTGAGTGCAAATCATTGAACTCCCTAATGAAGTATTGTAGAGAATAAATTAAAATGAAGAAAGAAAAATACTTCCTCTGCAAGGAGGTTCATGAAAAGGACTCTAACAAGTATGCTGGAATTTAGATTTCTTATGAGTTTAAGATTATACCACTGGACTGGGAAAGAATTTCCAGAACTCTAATGAAGAAACGATGGCTTCTTAAAACATCTAACCCAGATCAAGTAGAATAAGTTTAATGAATGGGACTAAACAAACTGATGGCAATATTTTCGAGTGACTTTTTGTTTAACACTTTGCTGTTTTTTAAAATTTTTTGTTTTCCAGATTTGAGAAAACTTTTAAAAAGCTATCTATAGCATACAGAAATTTGGTAAAGTATACTTTTATAAATAAAAATGGAAATATTTATTTTTTCTTCCTACCTGAGCCTGCAGTCTTCAGAGAGCTCTTATTGATATTTTTATTTTATGGCAACATAGTTATTTGCATAAATTCAATAAAAGTCTATTCTCTTTGTAACAGGATAGAATTAGAAACATTGGTTATATTATAAATGGCTTGACTTGAATGTGATATTTGAGACTATGCATAGGATGCCTAGCTTCAAGGATTCCCAAGCTCACAGTGAGTGAATAAACATTTTTACCTCTTGACAGGCCAGGAACGTCAAGATATATTGGAGACCTCAAGAAGAGAGAAATTCATGCAAATTTTTAGATACTGCAGCCAAAGTCTGATGTTTGCCCTCCTTTGACCTCTGACCCTTGGAAGGCTTTTAAAAGTCTAATCTGAGATTTCTTATCAAAAGTTCCATCAAAATAAACTTAAAAACAGCCCATGTTTCATCCCTTTTCTTGCTACACTGTTGTCAATAATCATGCCAAGTTTAATGAGACTAAACTTATTCAGCAGACAAATTAGTCTTACTCTGATTATCTTTAGTAGAAATAGGGATGATTGTACAGAGAAAAATTATGTTTCTGAAGAAAAACTGCAGTACACCTGTTATTAGATTGTAGTTTTCTTTGTTTTTTTCAAGTTTTTGTCATCTATCTCTAAATTAGGGCACTTAATTATTCTAATTTCCTCCAACATCTGGCTACGATTCTCCAACTAAGAACATAAACTGCCTTGTTCCTAAAGTCCTATAAGTTGGAGCCAGAAAACTCCATGTAAATGTCAAGAGAGAAATCTCATGGCTATTTTGTGGGCTACAAAGAGAATTGACTAAAATGCCCCATGCTATACCCAGGAACATTCAAACTACAAACCAGAGTAAGAAGTTGATGACATCACAGTGTGGAAAGCTTTTCCCAAGACATTGTAACAAAACTGGACTCTTGTCCTTCTTATCTTTTTTTTCTTGCTTATGCCTACATTTTTCACTTGGCAGAACAACGCTGTGGTTAGAATTTCACATTCAGTAGCTTCCGTAACTGAATGAAGTTTTGGATCTGTCGTGTCAAACCCACATCTTTACATGACCTAAGGGATCCTTTAGTCCACCCAGTGGGTAACTATGGCAACATCCCTAATGACTTATTTGCCACCTTGGGTTTCATTGCAGGCTTCACTGCAAAGGCTATTGCCGCCCAGCAGTGCTCATTAAAGTATCTTGCTGAGTAGCCGTAGATAACACAACAGAACAGGATGAGATAACTCTCAATTATCTACTGGTTGAACAAGAATGTCTGTGCCATTGCTAATAACTACATGCTGTACCTGAATATATTTCTCTGGGGAAGTCAAGACCTAATTGCATAAAATAGCAAGACAGGCTTTATGGCTACAACAGATCTCACTCAGTCTCACATAGACTTTTGATTCATTAGTTGGCTGCCTTTGGGTCCATGTTCATAGACAATATTATCATGTTACTATTAATTTTGTACCGCATCATTCTTTTTAAACTTTTTATCTGTTTCCTGTCCAACCTCTGCAGAAATGATGCATCTAACAGAATAACACTGGTCCAGAACTTCCAAATGGTAGTCAATGCCTATGGAACTGACAAAATTGAACTTAGCAATGAACTCCAGGCAGATTTATCCTGAGAGCCACTCCTTCTGAACCTCTTTGTTTCTTAAATGTGACTAAAAGGGTTTTGACATCCGCTCTTAGTTGCTGGCCATTCATCTCTGATGCAGGATCAGACTAACTGGGAAAGGTCCACTCCAGCACCAAGAAACAATCAAAACCTAACTATAGGCTGATTAATCAGCAATGCTTTCAGAAAAAAGTCTTGGTCAAAAGGGGGAAATGTTAAAGTTACCAGCAAAGAAGTTGACTCACTTAAGTCAAACCACAACAAAATGGAGCTGGGAGAGTATAAAAGAAGGCCCTTCATGCATGGATGTCTCTAAAAGAATTATTGCAAGGACTCTCTGAAAACTACAAAAATTTTAGATACAACGCTTCTATGAAGACATCTTCCCAGCAATAGCCAGTATCACCAGTGAGTATTTGTCCATACCAGCAATAAGCTTCTGGGGCCAAAGAGGTTTATTTTAAAATAACTTACATGAACTTCACCTTTTTTTTTCTTTATTTCTTCTTCTTCAAAAAAAACAAACAAAAGGGATATATGTGCAGAATGTGCAGGTTTGTATGTGCAGTTTATTTTAAAATAACTTACATGAACTTCACCTTTTTTTTCTTTATTTCTTCTTCTTCTTCAAAAAACAAACAAAAGGGATATATGTGCAGAACTGCAGGTATACGTATGCCATGGTGGTTTGCTACACTTTTCAACCTATCATCTAAGTTCCCTCCCCTCACTCCCCTGACCTCCAACAGGCCCCAGTGTGTGTTGTTTCCTTCTCTGTGTCCATTTGTTCTCAATATTTGAATCCCACTTACGAGTAAGAACATGCGGTATTTGGTTTTCTGTTCCTGTGTTAGTTTGCTGAGGATGATGGCTTCCAGTTTCATCCATGTTTCTGTAAAGGACATGCTCTCATTCCTTTTTATACCTGCATAGTATTCCATGGTGTATATGTACCACATTTTCTTTATCCAGTCTATCAGTGATGGGCATTTGGGTTGGGTCCATGTCTTTGCTATTGTACATAGTGCTGCAATAAATATATATATGTATGTTCCCTTATAGTAGAATGATTTATATTCTTTGGGTATATACCTAGTAATGGGATTGCTGGGTCAAATGGTATTTCTAGTTCTAGATCCTTGAGGAATGCCCATACTGTCTTCCACAATGGTTGAATTAATTAACTTTCCCACCAACAGTGTAAGAGCGTTCCCATTTCTCCACATCCTCTCCAGTATTGTTTCCTGACTTTTTAATAATCTCCATTCTAATCGGCGTGAAATGGCATCTCACTGTGGTTTTGATTTGCATTTCTCTGGTGATCAGTGATGTTGAGCTTCTTTCGTATGTTTTTTGGCCACGTAAATGTCTTTTTTTGAGACGTGTCTGTTCATATCCTTTGCCCACTTTTTGATGGCGTTGTTTGTCTTTCTCTTGTAAACATGTTTAAGTCCCTTGTAAATTCTGGATATTAGATCATTGTCAGATGGGTAGATTGCAAAAATTTTCTCCCAGTCTGTAGGTTGCTTGTTCACTTTGATGATAGTTTTTTTTTTTTTTTTTTTTTTTTTGCTGTGCAGAAGCTCTTTAGTTTAATTAGATCCCATTGTCAATTTTGGCTTTTGTTGCAATTGCTTTTGGCATTTTTGTCATGAAGTCTTTGCCCACCATGCCTATGTCCTGAATGTTGTTGCCTAGGTTTTCTTCTAGGGTTTTTATGGTTTGGGGTTTTACATTTAAGTCTTTAATCCATCTTGAGTTAATTTTTGTATAAGGTGTAAGGAAGGGGTCAAGTTTCAGTTTCCTGTATATGGCTAGCCAGATTTCCCACATTATTACTGAATATGGGATCCTTTCCCATTGCTTGTTTTTGTCAAAGATCAGGTGGTTGTAGACGTGTGGTGTATTTCTGAGGTCTATGTTCACCTTCATTGGTCTATATGTCTGTTTTGGTACCAGTTCCATGCTGTTTTGGTTACTGAGGCCCTGTAGTAATGAAGTCAGGTAGTGTGATGCCTCCAGTTTTGTTCTTTATGCTTAGGATTGTCTTGGCTATATGGGGTCTTCTTTGATTCCATATGAAATTTAAAATTGGTTTTTCTAATTCTGTGAAGAATGCCAATGGTAGTTTGATGGGGAACTTCACCTTTTACCCTTAAAAAAGCTTTGGCTCCCCCAGGTTTTTCAAATGTGCCTATGGTTCACTACGGTACGCATATCCCAAATTGCAGTTCATTGCTCTTCCCAGATAAACTATTTTGAAAAGTCAGTCTCTCTGCTGTTTATTTTAATAATTTTTAATAGAAGTACATCTTTCTTAAAAGCATAGCAAAAATTTTAAGTACATTCACAATAATAATAATTAGGAAACAAATGATCATTGCTTTGATTTTAAGAATTATGAATTTCTTTAATTTTTCAAGTTGAAATATAGAATATGTTTTATTTAGTTACCAATTTATTTCTGTGTTTTTCATGAAACAATTTACTTTGGTAAGAAATTTCAAGGAATCTGTGGCATAAATACATATTTGGTCAATGTTCCTTGACCCAAAGTATTAAGGCTGGGTTGTATTTAATTCAGTGACTAAGTAATTTAGTCAGGTTATTCAATAAATTAACGAGGTAATCATCTATAAATTGTTATAATCTGTAAATCTATAAATCATATGTAAAATTTTATTATAAAAAGCAAATGAGTCTTTCTAACAATAGCTAGTTCCAACAATAAAATAACTTCACTTTTAGTTAGGAAGCCCGTATTACATTTCTAAATATTGAAGTCTGTGCAGTAGTTAATGAACTTTTAGTCAATTATTGAGAAAAAGCTTTTAGTACAGTAGAAGATATAAAAAACATGATTGAGCTCAATTTCTCTTTTTTAAGAAATCACTGATTTCTTGGTCAAACTTTTGCTTCTTTTGGAACTTCTGAACTTTATGGCCATGTGAAATGGCACTCTGAAACTTCTAGTAGACTCAAATTGAGGTAACTTTCTTGCTCACAACAATTTTATGTCCAGTTTCTAATACAAGCCATTATTTCTAACACATGCCATGGTTCCATGTTTGAACTAATGTTAATACCACCTGCCCCTACATGACTCAGTCTGAGCACATCCCTGGGCCACATCAAGCACCATGGCAGATTAATCATTCCTTATGGTTTTAACAGGCAAGCTGGGGAAAAAAAAAACTGTCTCCTCCAACTTTGGTTATGAGTGAGTTTCTTACCTTTTAATGGTGAAAAATAAACTTATCTGTCATAGGAGAAAATAACATTACACTCATATGGAAGCAGAGGTGAGAAGTGAAGCCTTAGTCACTATGGAGTCCTGTCCCTGGTTCCACTTGCCAGGACCCTTGAGCTGTTCTGCTTCCTAGAGAGCATCCTTTGAATCTTGATATCTCCAGTATCTTCCAGTTACTACTCATTTAGCCTAAAGGTCTTTTAGTTAGAAGTGTTGGCAATTGAAAGAGCTCTGACTAAAAATGCTACTCTATCAAACCAGTTAATTTCATTTAAATTTTAATTTAGTTGGCATAATTAGGTAGCAGATCTAGTGACTTCAAAAATGTAGAGAATCAGCACCAGATTATAACATGACCAAAAAAGCATCATCCTACAGTTACTTATAAGTTACAAAAGAAAATTAGAAGTGCAAAAACTTGAATCACAAATGTAATTTAGTTTCAGAAATAATAGGACATCTTGGCATGTACCTTCTGATGTGTGATAAATAACACACCACTTGAAAAGTATTCCATAAAAATGTTTAACCTAAGGGTGGTTATACCTCTAAACCTAATATCCAGTGTGCAAGAAATGCAGGAACACATGGCAAGTTACTCCACACCAGCAGGAAATTATCAAACAAATACAGGATGTAGAACATTCTACACAATAATAACTGACCTGAACTTCAAAAAGTCCATCTTAGTTTAAAAAGTGGTGAGATTGTTATAGATAAAAAGACAAAATGATATGATGACTTACCAAACAAATGTAAAATATGAAATTGATGAGGTACTATTTTTTAGAAGTATATAAGGGAGAATTGTGAAGAACTAGGAAAAGGTGGATGTAGAGAACACATTAGATATTATGGAATTAGTATAAAATTTTCATAGTTGTTAAAATGATTATTGTCAGTGTTTTCACAGTTTGGGATACTGAAAAGACTCATAAGACTCTGTAGAGCATATGCACACGAGGCTTTTACTACAGCAGCAGAGGATGATGGAGTAAAAGAAAGCAAGGGCAGGCAAGCACCATAGACTCCGGCAAACATTTCAGGTGCTTCTATCCACGGTTGTAAGGGGGTGTGTGTGTGTGTGTGTGTGTGTGTGTGTGTGTGTGTGTGTGTGTGTGTGTGGTGTGTTGTGTGTGTGTGTTGTATTGTGTATGTGTGTTTGCATGGGACATACTTCATCTCTGAAACACAATCCATCAAGATTTTGTGAGGAATTTTGACTTAGAAGCAAGGTCTCCCAAATTTCCAGGTGAACCTTTTGTCAGGCTGCATGCCTGGTTATACCAGGTGTAAGCCATCAATACATAAACTAGCCACAGGAGTTTCAAACTTTAAACAGACTGTATTTAATCTTGCCCTCATTTTGGCCAGGAATCAGTACCAGACTTTCAGATGTTCTGGGAGATAATTATAGAGCTGTCTCAGTCCAGCAGTAAAAAATAAATCTTACCCATTGGCACTGTGGGAGAATGCCCTAATTTATTGGAATTTCATGCTGAAATGTTTTGGGCCAAAATATTCAGATATCCATGATTCTACCTATCTAAAGAGATATTTAGTGAAATGGGTAATATATGGTAATATGTTAGCAATTACTAAATATAGGTGGATATTATATTAATCTTGTGTGAAATATTCTTTTAAATTTTCATTATGTCTGAAAAATCTTCACAATAAAAATAAGGAAAATCAATAAAGACTCCTGCTAAGTTGTTCTGTGATCTTAGTACAGGACATTATTTTAAAATTCTTCAAAAGAAAATATTTTGGTATTTAATAGATTACATATTTATATGAGATCTTAGCAACCTCACATATTTCAAATTCTCTTTTCTAGATACAATAATGCTGCAGTGTACATACACACATATTATATATATAATATACAATGTCTAAATTTTTGTACAATGTGAATATATATGAATGTAATATTCATATGTAATATTAATATGTATATTATATAGTCATATTCTAAAGTTCAGGTATTAAATTGAGTCAAATCTGTTTACCATTCCTCCCTCTCCCTCCTTCCCTCCCTCCCTTTTTTCCTTCCTTCCTTCTTTCCTTTCTTCTTTCCTTCCTTCCTTCTCCCCTTCCTTCTTTCCTCCTTGCTTCCTTCCTTCCCTCTTTGCTTCCTTCTTTCCTTCCTTCTTTTTGTTAATTTAGTCATACTGCGGACAGTTACTTTGTGCCAAATACTGGACAATGTTCATAGAGACAATGAAGAATAAAAAATTGTCCCTGGCCTCTGCCAAGCTTACCACTTGATGGAAGTTATTTCCAATTTAATTGATGGAATGTAAAGAACCTGGCTTTTTAAGATGAGGTATCATACTTTTAGTAACAAAATCAGATGATATGTAATTTTTAAACAAATTTAAAAATAAAGAGCATAATGTTTTCACATATATGTGCTGTTCAAGCCCAAAATTTGTTACATGAAACTCCTGAGATTGGAATTTATAACAGATCATATGCTGAGAAACACTCACAGAGTTTGGGATAGAACTCATGATAAAATACATATTCCCGTTATATATCCTCAGTGTATTTGGAGAATAAAACTCTCAGTAGTTCAAAGGTGATCAAATAAGTTTTCACCAACAAATGATTTTAGGTCAGATTAGAATTTAATATCAAAAAGCTTAAAATAAAGAAAACCTTTGAGTTGTTGGTTGAAGGCAATGGTTGGAGAAGGATGTCGATATATTTGATTTATAATCTATCAAGATTATCCATTTTAAAAACTTGTTACAAGGATTACAACGAGAAAAGGCAGAGCTAATAACTGGGTCACTAAATTCAGTAAAGGGATTCAGGCTAGGCTTCTCAGGGAAAGCTTTATTTGAGCTATTATCAGAAGGATGAATAGAAGTTAATTGTCTTGTATAAATTTTAAACTATTTCGTAGATATGCAGATTTCACATTTACCTAACTTTTTTTCATCAATTTTATCATGCATATGGAGTGTGATCACTAATTATTACTACTAAAATCTATTTCTAATAAAGTTAACATTTAGATATCTGAATGTCTGTCTCTTGAGCACATTTAATCGTACAGTTGACTTGGCATTTTCACTTTTTATCCTGCATAAGTAGAACAATTACTAAGACCAAGGTAATGCTTAGCAAAAGAAATTGGCAATATCCTCAGAAGCATATTCATAGCTGTGGTCCAACAATATGATATTGTCCACACAAAGGGCCATCTCCCTGAAATGTAGTTAAAATGTACGTTTGTGTACAGATGAGTTTGAACAAAATATACAAAAAGAAAACTTTACAGAATAGATAGGATATTGGACATCTGGAGAAAGTGTTATTTGCAGAAAACATTAAAATCCAAAAGAGATAAAAAAATCTTTTTTTCAAAACAGAGCTAGTTAATTATTGTTCCTTGTGTTGAAGCTCATTAAAAAGCTTCTTAAATTATCATTAAAAATTCACATTGTAAGTTAAAATTTATTTCTTTTTATGTGTAAGATAGATTTTTCTGCATAATTTTCTAAGACAAAACTGGAAGTCATCTTTATACAATTATATGTTCAGTAATTTATGAAGATAATTTAATAGAAAAATAATAAAAGCAGTACTTCAAACTGTATTTAAAATAATAGTTTCAGAAGGATACAATCTGGAGTAGATTGTAACTGAGGTATGCTGTCAAAAATATAGCCACTAATTCATCGAAAAATTTTATCCATTCATTAGAAAATATTTATTGAATTTCTTCTCCCTACTAGTCACTGTGTTGGCATCAGACATACAATTACGAGGAGGGAGAAATGGCCCCACTGTATTGAACATAGATGAGAAAATAAACACACACATCAATAAAATTATTTCCAATTGTGAAAAGTGTTTCACAGGAAAGCAACAACAAAAAGGGCCTCAGAAAATAAGTAGTGAAGATCCACGTAGAATAGGGAAGACTTCTGTGAGGGAGTGCCATTTAAACAGAACCTTAAATTATAAGAAGAGGTTACTAAAGAGAAGATGGAGAAAAGACTTTGAAAGCATATGCACCATTCCTGAAACAGTGTAAGCCAGGAACATTTTGAGGAATTAAGAGCAGTTTTGCTTGCCATAATGAGCTAGTGATTTGAGAAAATTAAGAGATAAAAATAGACAAATTATACATGGCCTTATAGGTTGAGATAAAGACTTTGATTGTATTCTGTGTGACATGGAGATCCATTGAATAATTTTAAAAGGAGAAGAAATATGGCCAAATTTCCACTACAGTAGAATCTGCTGGGAAAAAATAAAAGTGAATAAGGGATGCGGGAAGTGGAAGCAGGGAGAATATTTTTGGAGACTGATTTTCCTCAGATATCAGTTACTATCCCCAAGTTTTCTCATTCCAGTAGTGATGTCATCGTTGCCAATTACTGAAGCCAGGAAGTTAGGAATCATCAATCTTTTTATTTTGAATTAATGTGACAGTAGTAGAGAGAGAGAAAAAAGTAGGCATGCTGTATGTTATTTAGAGGATAAGATCTATAGATTTGAAATTGATTTGGCATAAACCCACAGGAAAGTGAAGAATCAAGCATGTATTCTAAGCTTCTGGCTTGGGCAAGTGAGCAATCAGCAACGTCAGCCCTGTGACTTACTAGATTTTTACTGAGGTATACTTTGTAATGTAATAGCTGCGAGAAACTGAATATCATTGAAATTTAGAAAAGGTTATGACAATGTCATTGGGTTAATAGACAGCCTTTTCTTACAAAGATTTGTAAAAAATGAGAGGCCCTAGAAATTTGCTGTGTATATTATGCATAAAAATATCACCTCAAGTAAATTCGTTTGGAAAAGAAACTCAAAGCAAGGCCAGACAAAGAAAACAAAAAGAAAGGGAAAGGACAAGGAAGAAAAGGCAAGAAAAAATAAGACAGACAAAAAATTGGAAAAATATGACAGAGAGAGCAAGAATTGTATATATCATAATTTTAAAATATTTTAAATTTAAAAAATTACTTTTTGACTTTTTTTTAATTCAAGAAGACCCTGGATATAAGTCCATCAGTATATAAATAATTGCTAAGAACTGGGACTAAATTTTAAATAAACTACACTGTTGAAAAAGCCAATATTTTCAAGAAAATTGACCAAAAGGTATCCTTGTCTTCATTTCCACTGACATCTTATGACTGCCATATTTTTTCAGCTATGGCTCTTTTTCTACCAATGGCATGTCACAAAAATGTGTGAACCTCTGGTCACTATAATTATTCATACCAATATTGCATAATTTTACCTTAGAATGTTTTTTCCAACTACATTCTTTTTCCAGGGGCATTTATACTCAAATGTTTTTTCCAGGGGCATTTACATTCTGAATACTGTGCCTCAAAGTCAAACTGGTTAGCATTACAATCTTGTCTGGTATTATATATGCATTTGTTAATGTACAAATTGACCTTGTAAATAGAATATATTTGTCAGGAGTTTTAGGTCTTGTGTTCCCAACACCTAACAATAGATACTTGTTGAATAAATTATGAAAGGGAAAAATATTTTTTAAGAAATTTTGAAAACTTAAAAAGGAAACAAAGGTGTCACAATGGAAACAAAATTTCACTTTTTTTCCTCTGAGTTTAGAGTAAATCTCAGATTCAAACACATCTAAGGATGTACAATTATCAATTATGTAATTCCAAGGGAAAGTAATTTGTACTTACAGGTTAGATATGCTAATTAATTCACTTAATTCTACTCATTTGCTTTAAAAAAAAAAAGAGGCTGTCAGAAATAATACATCACAGTAAAACCTCTTATCCAACAAGAAAAGATTGTATTTGGGAAAACATTTTCATAGACCTAAATTTAGTAATGTTTCCAACTTACATTTCACCAGTTAAGCTTCCCATTAGAAAATGTGTTTGTATGACCCCAATTCCACTTGCATTTTTTCCCATAGGTTTCCCAGCAGACGTTTACAATCCTTTAGTGATGTTATAGCCAGAATTGTATTAGGTAATAATATAAAATCCCTAAATTTTATGTACAAACCTTCACTGATATTTTTTAGTTATCATGAAAGAATCCTTGTATTTATTTCTATTCCAATTCTCCTCATGTCGTTGGTATTTTATATGTATTCATTGTAAACATGTGTTGAATGTTCTAAATTTATACAAGCAAAACAATGTACATATTCTAGCGCTTAATATTTTCCCTCTCCCTGTTTTTTTTCCATGGCTTTCTCTTTCTTTCACTATTGCAAACTCTGACCCTGAGAGGCAAGAGTCATGACCATTTAGTAAGATGTATCGTTGAGTATCATAAAATAGTTGGATAGTCTGCTATTCTTTATAGTAGCAAAAATAGAATGTTCATATGCTTGCCCATGATTTTTATACATTTTTAAATTTGTCTACCACCATGCCTAAATTTACCAAATTAAGTCGATGTATATAAAACATTTGCACAAATGTTACTCAAGTTGTCTGAAATAAAAATACATGTATTTTGCAATTTAGAGCCCATGACACTAAAAATGTATAGCTCCGTTAACTCACCTTTTGAACAAATTTCAGCAAGAAATTTCAGAATGAATATAAAAAAATTAAGAAATATTCTAATATATAGTAGCTGAAAAGTTTACAGAAGTAAAGAAGAAAGACACAAATTAGTAGATTCTGAAGAATTATCTATATGAACCCATAACTATTCTCTTTATTTTGGATATTCTATTGTTTCCTTATAATTTGTTTATAAGTTTCCTTATAAATAAACAAATTATAAGGAAACAATGGAATATCCAAAACAGAATATGCAAGCCGATTAACAATCCCCATTTTTACCAACAAAAATATTGAAAGTCAGAAAATTGTGGAATATCTTTGAAAGGCTAATAAATGATAATGGCAAATCTAGAATTTTATGTCAATTAGATTTAGAATTCAAGAGCAGATCAAAATAGAGACATCTTCAGACAATCCAAAAACTGAGGGTTTACTAGCAAGACTAGTAACTTTTACAGTATATACTATAGAATAAAGGATAATTAACTGGATGTAAATTCCAAAATATTACAAGAAGAAAGGATGTGAAAAAATATATATAAGCAATCACAATTTTATTTAACAAGCACACCAACAATATGTGATTTGTGGGAATAAGAAAAACAACGTAAATATAAAATAACAAACAATTTGTAGCAAATATTTTTAAACAATTGCAATTAAAGATTTTTATTTAACAAACACACCAACAATATGTGATTTGTGGGAATAAGAAAAACAACGTAAATATAAAATAATGAACAATTTGTAGCAAATATTTTTAAATAATTGCAATTAAAGAGCCCTAAGACTTTGTATTGTTTGGGCTTGGTGTTAGTAAACTTTATATTTTATGTTAATAATGTTTATTAGAATATCAAAATTGCCTAGCAAAAGAAAACTGATAATGTGAATAATTTCCAAAATAAAAGAGATAAGTTACAAAAAATGTTAAAGTAAACAAATGCAAAACAAGGCAAAAAAAAATCAAAGTGAGAAAGACCAGCAAAGTGAATAAAAGGAAGAAAATATGACTTTAAATATAAAAAAATAAATAAATGAAAACCTAAAAAATAACATGCAAGTTGCCAAAAGAAAACAATTTACTTGACTGAATAAAGGTCGTTAAAGGATTTCTTCAGCTGGTGAGCACCAGGCAAACCTGAAGACTAGGTGGTTCCAGACTGAAGTAGGCTCAGGCTTCTAACAGAAGAAGAGGAAGTTGAGTATGCCTGGTTTAGGCTGGACAGATATTTTCTGCTTTAACTGAAGTTGAGTTTAGGTTTTTGGGTTCTTTTCTGTTTGTTTTTGTTTTATCTGTTTATGTTCCACTTTCAGAGTCTCATTATCCATCAGAACAATATTATATGAGAACAATCTTTGCAGTTGATGGGCTAACCACGTTCCCTGGGTGGGGCAGGGGAAGTAGACAAGAATAAGAATGAAGTGGATGTAAAGGAAGAAGGCAAGGGGCAGGGGATTCTTACCCTCTAGTATGTTTGTTTTAATCACTTGACACGGTTACTAGTTTTCAAATTTACTAAATATTTTATATGATTCAAATCATTAACTGAGAAATTTATTTCAAATTCAGTGCTCTTTGCAAAGTACTGGCTAGATGTTGGAATCCAAAAATGAACTGTGAAAAAAGGCCCGTGTCCTCAGGAACTTATGTTCAGAAGAAATGGAAAAACAAAATTAAATAAGTGGATAAATACATGTGTGTTGTTTTACTAAGACCTTATTTATTAAATATTTTGCTAAGCCTATAATATTAAACCAGCTATTTATATATCTCTATATAACAATGGTTCTAGAGTCAGGAGGTTAACCTTGTGGATTCCTCAGTGACCTTGAGTAATCACTCAACCAAAATACATTTGTATTTAAATACGAACATACGTTCGAACATTATGTTGTTACCCTAGCCACTTCACAAAATACGTTCGAACCATAGGTTGTTACCCTAGCCACTTCACAAAATATTTGAAAAACACATTGATAGATGTGTTTATCTATAGATAAACAGATAGATAGATAGATAATTTGATGATTCTATAAATCTGGTAAATGAATTAGAAATATTATAAAAGGTTTTTCTGAGAGGATACCATCGAGCAAAAAGAAAATGACTAGCATTTGACACTATGTAACTTTAAATCTATATTTCAGGGATCTCTGTCACTTTCTTGGGGAATTGAATCACCTATTCCTACCTACAGCATGAAAATGAGTTGAATCTCCAGGTTATAGCATTTGAAGGCATGCCTGAGAGGAGCAGATTCAAAAATCAACAGGTGGTTGATGTTTTCTGTGGGGAGCATTCCTACCTCAATCCTGCTGCTGTGACTCATTCCTAAACAGCTTTGGGGTCTACAGTCCCCCTTGGTACCTGCTGGGGATTTGTTCCAGGACCACTACCAATCCTACCACCATCATCCCTTCATAGCAAAAGCCAGAGATGCTCAAGTTTCTTATATAAAATGGGCTAGTATTTGCATATAACTTACACACACCCTCTTGTATACTTTATATCATTTCCAGATTACTTACATTAATAATACTGAATACAATATAAATGCTATGCACATAATTGTTACAAGGATTGTTTTTTATTTGCATTTATTGTTGTATTTCTTTTTAAAAATTATTTTTGGTATTTCTTTTAACAAATATGTTTGATTCATGGTTAGTTAAATCCACCCACAATGGGGGTATGGAGGGTCAACTGTATTCAGGAATTTGCATTAACAGACTTAAGAGCCTAGTAGATTCTTTGCTTAAATGAACTCTGTGCAGACACAGCATTCAACATTTCTATTTTGATACTTTAAGCAGACTGCAGTGTTTGACTAGCTATTTCAGTAATATGCAATAATCTTTACAAAATAGACATAGGTGTTCTGTGACCCCAAATTCTCTGAAACTCTAAACTCAATTATTGGATCTATAGTGGTGTTTCTGATCAGATTACAAGATGAAGGAAGCAATGCAACTTGGCCTAATGTAATGAAAAATATTGCTATCTCTCCACTGATTATTTTGGATGATGGGAGAGCTGTATAGCCATTTAACTAAAGAGGAATCCTTTCAGGAACTACTCTGAAGTACTTTAAGAGATGGAGTTGCTGAAGAAAAAAGATTGAAAACAATTGGCTTAGCTGTTCGGAGCGTGGCAAGAATGTAACTGTAATCTGTCATTGTGTGGGCAGACAAATTGCCTGAAAATTGAATAAATTGGAAATCACTGGAAGGCAGCTATTTTGTCCTTGAGTGCATTAGATATCTTGGAAAAATGTTATTAAATGGTGAACAATTGCTATCGAAAAGTTTCTAGTTGTTTGGAATATAGAGTTACATAAAGTCAAGATTCTATTATTATTCTAATAATAGATAAAATCCGAATGTAAAGAAAATGTTTCCTATGAAATATGTAATTTAATTCTTCTCAGAGCAATACTTTAAACAATTATTTGATTAGCCTGTGTTTGTGAATGTATATAAAGTAAGCAATAACCTTATTTTCTCCTCTTTGTAATTTAATTCATTAGAAATTGAGAATCTCAGACTTCTCTCCAGCCCTATTAAATCTGCATCTTCATTTCCAGGTCACTCATATACTGTTTAACTTTGAGAAGCACTGCTGTATATTGTCTTGAGAGTCCACACTATGAAATAAATTGGCCCTTATTTACTACTCAATTGAAATTCTTCAAAGACTTTCTTAAAGTTTCTAAATAAGTCCCAGTTAGTGGAAATGAACTGAATTTAGTTTAATTTTTTTTATCATGCATTGCTGTCCAAAAGAAGAAAGCTTATTTCTGCCAACTTCTTCTTATCCTCAACTTCCAACCACTGTCACGTCTGTCTTCTTTCTTTTTAATATTTTCAGGTGAATTAGAGGTTTGTCAACCGTAAGAATGAAATATATGGTTTATGGCCTATTTTTATGTAACTGGTCATTCTGAGATCTGGAAAATACTACCTGTGTTTATCTGCAACTAAAATCTAGACACCTGAGCCTACACTGCATAGCGACACAGGTCACTAGAAAAACGCAGGCAATTTAGAAAGGCTTTTAATATAGAACAGTTGCATTTTGTTTCTATTCATGTCTATCGCTTTCTCTTTTTTATTCTAAATTGCTTTATTATATTCTATATTTAATATTCTATCATTAATATGTCAATAACAGTCAATAATAATTGAGGACTCAGGTTTTGTCAATACACTGATTTATAATTAGTACAATATGTTATGAGTTTCCTTCGCACATTAATATTATCAGCTCTTCATTTTTTGTTGTTCACAATGTATCTTCAACTACCTTTTTATTTTTAGGCAACGTACGTATTACAATTTAAGAATAACATCTTCTTTGTTAAATATTTATTTCCCCCCCTTTTCAGAAAATTAGATGGTTTACACTTATTGTTAGAAATAATATAAAGCTTTTCTGGTTTTGTGCTTCTAAATAATATTAATATATTCTTTTGTAATTACAAAAACTCCTTGTTTTTGTTTTGTAATTACTTTCTCAATAAAATAGAGCTGCAAATATTTTGTTCCTTTAAATATTTCAAATAAATAATTTTCATTTATAATAAAAAATATAAAATATGCCAAAGAATTTATTATTTCAAAAAATATGTCATTCACCAATTTGCTTTTAAATTTGTGAATACAGTCTCATTTTATTTTAATACTTTAATCATAGATCTTAACTTTTTTATAATTAATTTTAATTTGTATTTAACATGGTAATAATATTTTTACTTAATTTTATATTGTTGGGTTAGTAGTCACTGTTAGTACACATAACTATTTTACTTTTTCAACATATAATTTTCATTAATCTTATTCAGATAAAGTTCATGTTCACTATTTTTCTTCAATTGGAAATATTTCATATTTTAAAGACTTCCATTCCTAACAAATGTGGAATACAACATTTTTAGCTCAAAATATTTTTCAAAACAAAACAGAATTTTTCCAGTCTTCACATATAAAACTAAAGCAACAAGCTCAAGTCTATCCAGACATTTTATACTTCAGAAACGAAAATATTAATCTTACGTGTTTATGACGGATGTTTTTCTTATAATTTTAGTTAAAAAATATTTGTAGAAGATTTTTGTAGTAATATAGTCAGAAAATTAGTCTGCATTTTTATCTACAAATTAAACAGTATTTTAAAAATTAGTTCAGGAAATTTTATTTTATATTGTATTTTAGTCTGTATTTGAATGATATTTAAATTCTTAGATTTTCACTTTAGATATGGGAACTCAGGTGCTTAATTCTATCCTCTTTAATTTTATATCTGTGATTTCTTCTGCTTTGTTTTCAGTTCTATTTTTTTGCTGCACTGCAAAAGAGTTTCTAAAGATTGTATTGAATATTACAAGCTTCATTTAGTGCTCTATCATTTGGCATTTACATTTTTACATAGTTTTAAAATTATATCTATTTCTTTGTATTTTTTATCTAATTTTATACAACTTTAAAAATCATGCACCTCTAATATCTATTGACTAGGTTTAGCTTTCATTTCAGAGATAACATTAATAGTGAAAAAATATTATCTTAAATGCAAAGATATTCATTATTTAAAAACTGATCAATGACATTCACCAAATTATCACAGGGACAAAAACATAAAATGATCATCTGTAGAGATGCAGAAAAATAATTTGACAAAATTCAGCACTGATTTATAAGAATTATCAGCAAAATAAGAATAGAAATGAAAATTGACCAACAACCAGAAGTGACAGCAACAACAAAACACCAAGTCAGTAAAGATGGAGAGAAATAGGGAAGCAGTGAAGGTAGATGTCATTTCTGTTTTTAGTGGTGGAATACAAGGTGTTCTTGTGCTTAAAGGTCATGTTCTTGTGATAAAACGCACTGCAGAGACAACATAGTTTAATTGGCTGAGGCAGGTGACTCCCTTTAAGCATCAGGGTGGAACAAACTACACGACAAAATGTAATTTTAAAAACCACTCTCATTCAAATGTAAGAATATCAAAGCACCCTTAACTCATTAATGAGTGAAACAATGAGTGTCATGGTCTGAATTGTGTTCCCCTCCCCAAACCCGTATGTTCAAGCCTTAAACCCTAGTTATACACATAAGGTAAATGAAACCTTACTTGGACACAAAGTTTTTGCAGATGTAATCAAGCTAAAATTATGTCTTTAGGTGGGACTTAAAATAACATGGGTTATCTTTATAAGAAGAGGGAACAGAAACAGATAGGATGTGGAGAGGACCATGTGAAGACAGAAGCTGAGACTGAAAAGGATTTATGTATTAATATTAACAGAAGCCAAGGAACACCATCTGAAGTTCTGATGGCAACATCAGAAGCTAAGAGAAAGGCATGGAAAAGATTCTCACCTAGAGCATCCAGAGGAGAGGTTGGTCCTGCAGACACCTTGTTTTCTGACTTCTGGCCTCCGCAACTGTGAGAGAAGAAATTTCTGTTGCTTAAAGACACACAGCTTGTGCTACTTTATTATAGTAGCCCAAGGTAACTAATATAGATGACAAAATTGGTTCCAAGGGTGTTTGAGGAACTGGATCTTTATAGGCATTATTTTCATAATACTGCATTAAGCTACGATAACTGGATTAGATTCAAAATTGGATAATGCCCTAAAATGCAATAAAGCTATAATTTTGAGATAAAATTTTAATAGCTTTATGAGATATAATTAACATCTGGTATACTGCACATTTTTGAGGTGTGAAATTTTTAAACATTAACATACGTATATACTTGTAAAACTATCACACTATAAAGAGATCTCAAGCCTCTTCTTTTGACTTTCAACACATCGTCAATCCAGTACTAATCTGGTTTTATTACCATATATCAGCTTTTATTTTCTACAATTATATTTCAGTAGAATTATAGAGTATGAACTCTTTTTGTCTTTTTTCCTTAAGCATAATATTTTTGAGATTCAACAATTTCTTGCATGTTTAAGTAGCACATTTTTTTATTGTTACATATTATTTCATTTCATAGACATACCACTATAATTTATTTACTAAACTCTTGACCAGAGGTTCTCAAATGAGGGACATTTTACCTGCCAGGGGACATTTCCAATGTTTGGGGACACTTTTGGTTATCAGAGGTTTGTGGAGGAGGGGATAGAGTGTGCACAGGCCAGGGTTCCACAAAGGATAGCTCCCCACAACAAAGAATTAAGCCACTTCAACAGCTAATAGTGCTGAACTTGAGAACGCCGCTCTTGGTGGACAGTTGCGTGGTGTCTGTTTTTGACAATAATGAATAAAGGTACTTGTGCAAGCCTTTTTATAGACTTATGCTTTTCTCCCCGCTAGGATAAATGCCTAGGGGTGGAATTGGTACATGTAAGGTAGATTTAGTTATCCAAAGTAGCTGTACTGTGTTACACTCCCACCGTCAATGTATGCAAACTCTAGATTCTGGTTTCTTGACATCTATGCCAAATATTGGTAACACAATTTTTAAAATAGTAGCTTTTCTAGTAGATGTGTATAATTATCTCATTTTATTTTTTTATTACTAACGATATTAAGAAATTTTTCATTTGCTTATTTGCTATTGTATCATTTTTGTGTAGCATCTGTTGGTTTTTATTGTTCTCTTGTTTCTATGTTGTACATTATATTTATATATTCTTGCTCTTATTCATAATAAATAGTATATATAATTGTGTAATTAAAAATAAACATTAAAGTATAAATATATTTATACATTTCTATAGTTTATCATTATATAATTATTGCTTTCTGAATAAAAAGAAATTTCTCCACAGTTTGCATAAAAAGAAATGCTTTCATGTAGTTTACTAAGACATTTTCTGTGCTTTATATTTGAAGCCTATGCTTTCACTTTTACATATTGTTCCATAATATATTTTGGACTCATTTAATTTTGAACTCATTCATGCTTTTGTTGTGAGGAAGGACTTGGGTTTGTTTTCTTCACATTTATCTCGTAGTTCTGCACACTTTGTTAAATAAAAGTATCTTTCCCCTTTGAATAACTGCAGTATCTTTGATATTATATTATTCATATAAGCATGGATCTATTTGTGAACTCTATTCCATTCCATTACTCTAATTGTTTATCCATATACTAATAACACATTCTCTTGATGACTATAGCTTTAAGTTATTGCATGGTGTTAGGAAGTGTGAGTATTCCAACTTTTTTTTCAGCTTTTTATCATTTGTTTTTGCTCTCTTGATGTAATGTACATTTTTAAATCAGTGTGTCAATTTATATAAAAATATCTTTTGTGATTATGGTGAGGATTTCTAGAATGATTAATTTGGAAAAACCAAAACCTTTTACACACTAAAATTCACTGAACTTTCAAGCCACGATTATTGTATTAGTTTGTTCTGGCATTGCTATAGAGAAATACAGAAGACTCAACAATTTATGAAGAAATGAGGTTTAATTGCCCCACTGTTCTGCAGGCTATACAGGAAGGATGATGCTGGCATCTACTTAGCTTCTGGGAAGACTCAGGAAACGTACAATCATGGCAGAAAGCAAAGGGGGACAGGCACGTCACATGGCCAGAACAGCAAGAGAGTGAAAGGGGAAGGTGCTACACACTTTTAAATGACCAGATCTCATGAGAACTCACTCACTCACTATTATCAGAACAATATCAAGAGGGATGATGCTGAACCACTCATGAGAAATCCACCCCATGATCCAATCACCTCCCACCAGGCCTCACCTCTAACGTTGGAGATTACATCATATCAGATTTGGGCAGGGATACACATCAAAACCATCAATTATTGTATGTGACTCCATTTATTTAGAACTTTCCTACATCTCCCAACACTTTTGCTAGTTTCCTATTTAGAGAGATCTTGCATGTAATTTGTTAAAATCATATATACATATTTTATTTTTATTAGTATTTTACATGGATTTGATTTTCATCATTAATTGCTCATTGGAAATATATAGAAATAAGTTAATGGGTTGACTTATTTTTTCTATGATGTGGCTAAAATTACTAGTTTATTCTAGCAGCTGATTTTTACAGTCACTAGAGGTTTATGTATAGGTAATGGAGTTGTTTAAAAATTTAGAATTGTATTTTTCATTTCTTAACTGTGTATGTTTTACTTATTTATTTGATTTGTCTCACTGGTTAATTCCTCCCATACAGTAGAGAGAACAATAGTGAAAGAGGACACTTTGTCTTCTTCTGGATCTTAAATGAATAATTTATTAGTTCAAACTTCAGTGTGATATTTCCGTAGATGCCTTCTATTTGCTTAAGGATGCTTCTTTGTATTCTATTGGGGCGAGATATTTTTATTATAATTCTGTCTTGAAAATGCCAAATGTTTTTTCTGCCTCAGAGGCAGTTTATATATTTTTTTCATTTTACTCAGTTAATGTGGGGAGTTTGAAAATTCAAAATACTTGAAAAATCACGTTCCCATCAAACACTGCTTCTTACTGTGCCTTTCTAAGAGGACTACCCTCAACTTGGGCATTTAGAGGATACTTCCCTTCCTATAGCTCAGGGTTTTTTTGTATTTTTTTTATGTTTAAATTTTAGTGATATTTCTTTTTTGTGTTTTTAAAATATTTTATGGGATATTGCATTGGCCCATTTGTTTCAACTTTACAGCTCTAGTTAAATATAAAAATTAATAAAATGTCAACACTCAAGTATTACATATATCCCTTGCTCTGGTGATTTAGGACTATAAGAAAAATGCTCAATTTCCCTCGATAGAAGGAAGTATCAACTTTATTTATTATTTATTTATTTATTACTGTAGTCTCACAGCCTAAAAATCATTAGGTCTCCATTGATCAGCAAGCAAATGATCATGATTGTTTTTCTGAATTTTTGACAATTTCAGAATAGGCAAGAAAGCTAAACTTTAAAAATAAAATGCCAACACCAAGAATTTAAAATCAAATTCTTCACAATGAATCCCAACAGGAAATAGTTCTTCATTTTATGATTACTCAGAGATTTTGCTTGTTGTAGTGGTCTTCCTTCTGGCTCATAATTTTTTGCTACTCTGCAGCAGAAATAATAAGAAATATTTTCCCAGTCCACAGCGGTGAAGGAGAAGAAAACTATAAATCAAAAGTAGCATATTCTGTGGATCATTTATTGAAATAAACACAGTGAGTACAAGATGGGTAATCTATTTGCATAATCAAAGACACCCTTCATCTGTGTCTATTTTTTTCTTTTCTTTTCTTTTTTGAGACAGAGTCTCACTCTGTTACCCAGGTTGGAGTGCAGTGGCATGATCTTGTCTCACTGCAGACTCTGCCTCCCGGGTTCCAGCAGTCTTCCTGCCACAGCTTCCTGAGTAGCTGGGATTACAAGGTATGTGCCACCATGCCCGGCTAATTTTTGTATTTTTATTAGAGATGGGGTTTCGCTATGTTGGCCAGACTGGTCTTGAACTCCTGGCCTCAAGTGATCTGCCCGCCTCAGCCTACCAAAGTGCTCGGTTACAGGCATGAGCGACTTGCCTGGCTATGTCTATTTTTAACATAGTTATAGTGAACTATAATTATTTTTACATAAAAACTATTCTTACAAATGTTATATGTATTTTAAGAGCATACAAACTTATGGGTTTTTTTATTTAATAAAAACCAGTGGCAGATTGATAATGCAGAATATATTATTTATAAAAAATCATCTGTTGTCATACAAACATATATTTTATTTGAAAATTATACTTTTGAATAGCTTTTTGGAAAGTTAAAGTATTCTCATTTACTGCATACATTTGTCACCAAAATTATACGAAAGAGTGTTTGATTCAAAATGTGTGTGTGTGTGTGTTCCTATATAGGACCTGGATAACACATACGTATAAAATAAATAAATACATGTATATATCATGCACACACATTTAAATATAATGTAAATGTGTGTGTGTGTGTGTATGTGTGTGTGTGTGTGTGTGTATGTGTATGTGTATGCAGATGTCCCCCTGGAAGCAAATTTAAAAAGAATCCCCTCTTTTGAGTGTATAAAGAAGTTCCTTTCTTAAGGAATGGATAACAGGGGTTGGTACTTTGGCTGAATTCCTCTTCCTCTTACTTTCATTAGACTTGGCACTGTTGCATAGAACACAATTTTCCAAAATGTAATGTCTGTGTTATGCCTGCAAATGTACCATACATAACAATTTGTCATTTTCTGTAATTACATACTGACCTATTTAACATTTATCTAACCACTTATATATCTTAATTAAAATAAATCAACCCATATAAATTGTTTATTTCTATTGTCTTTCTCAGTATAATGCACAAGATACCTTTCTATCTCTATATGTATTTGTCATTTTCATGTCTGTCCCTACATGAATTGACTCTATTTTTCTATTACATAGATATGTGATGTTACTACAATATATGTTAACTAAAAATGGATGATGTAACCTTTTAAAATTATGACCATCACAGTGAAAATTATGTCTCTAAAACCCAATGACCACAGGGACATTCCAGTTTTTAGAAAAATATCAGGGGCTTAGGTATTTTCAGATTAAATTTTGAAAAATAGAGTATCTTTCCATTGATTTATGTGGGCAAATTTCCCATTTGTTCACATTAAATCTTAATGGCATATTGCCTAAATCTTCCTCAGAAAAGCTTAGCCAAATTGCCTAGGATGTTTCCTTTCTCCCATATTACCATCACTGTATACCATCATATTTCTAATAATTTTAATTTTGGAACATGAAAATGGTATTTCAATTTAAATGCGTATGTTTTTCTATTTGCAAAGAGATTAAACATCTCTTCAAGTTTTTAAACTATATGCAGCCCTTCTTTTCTGCTATACCTGTTCATTTCCTCAAGCTATTTTTCCATCAGACAGTTTTATGTTTTCTTATTGATTTGAAGCTTCTATTAAAGTATTGTATACACATGGGTAAATGCACATAAGTTTAAAGCTTAGTGAGTTTTAAAATACTATGATCATCCAGAATAAGAAAATGTAATAGTCACACACCTGATTTCCACCCATCCCTCCTAACATAACACTATTCTAACTTTTATCAGTAAGGAATCAAATAGTGTGTGTAGTGTTTTGAACCGCATTTTTTTGCTTAATATTACATTTGTGAGACTAATTGATTATATGACCTGCAAATGAAACTATTTACATTTATTTCTCTAATATTTTATTAGGTGATCATATTACAACTTATTTGTTTACTGTACTCTTTATAAGTATTTTAGTCCACTTTTGGCCCACAGTTTGGGGTTATTTTGGTGTTATTCTGAAAAGTGTTTTCATGAGTACACATTTTTTTTTAGCTATATATATGCATGCCTTTCTGGAGAAACCATCTTTACAAGTAGAATTTTGGGGCCTACTACATATCTTTATCCAAATTATTTGAACTAAGTTATGCCAATAACATCAATTTGAGTGTTCTAATTAGTCAACATTCTCATCAATACTTTGCATTTTCTCTTCAACTTAGAATTCTAAAACATTCCTTTCAAATTCAGGATTCTGAATGACAAGTATTTACATCTCATTGTGGTTTGAATTATTTTTTCAGATAACCAATATAAATAAAAACCTTTTAATAAGTTCATTGGTTATTTGAATATTTTACTTTTGAAGTGTCTAAAATATTTTCTTTTTAATCCAGTCCAGTTATTTTTCTGTGGTTTGCTTCTTGTTGTCTTATTGAGTTCATTGCCTTTTTAATATTCTTTTCCAGTTAACATTTCCCCCTCATTGATCTGAAATGTTTTCATTATATACCACCTTTCCATATCTGTCAGTGTCTTGATTTTCTATATGATCTTCATCTATCTGTATTTATAACTCATTTTAATCATAGAAGCTTTAAGAATTGCTTAATATTTTGTATTGACTCCAAATTCCATTGATTTTATAGGATATTTCTAGCTATTCTTGCTTCTTTATTCCTCCAAGTAAATTTGTCTATTTTTCTAAATCTGGACAAAGAAATTCTAGAAAATATCGTTTTGTTATGACATAGAAGATATAAGTTTATTTAAAGAACTGGCACATTTATGATTTTAAGGCTTTTTCAAGAGCATGGAATTTCTTTCCCCGTGCTCAAGTCCAAATTTGTGCCATTCAGAAGTGTTTTCTAGTTTTTTTTATATATAGGTTTTAAACATTTCTGGTTAAGTTTATGCCCTCACATTTTATTTTAGTTTGGTTAATGACGTTTTACATGTGTGAGTTCCTCAATTATTTCTTTTAAATGTTCTGATTCAATAGGAACACTCTCCTTAGTATCCTTAACAGAAATGATTCTTGTTTATAGAATTGCTAAATAAGTAAAGAAATTTTGAGTTAAATCATGGCAAGGAGTTATAATTATACTAAGCTTTTTTGTTCCTAGAGATTTTGGCTCACTCATATGGTAATCTATATGAAAATTTTTCTGTGATATCTAATAGGAGAAAGATCCTCAATGATAGAATAGTGTTTCTTCCTAGCTGATTCATACATCTTTCTCTGCCAACATTTTGTTTGTTGAAGTGTTCCCCAACATATGACTCATTGCTTACTAAATCCCTATTGAGCAGCCAAAGCCCTGGTGACTAATTATGTCATTAATTTGGGAAAGTCAGAGACAATAAGACTGTCAGTTGAAACTTTGTAGGAGGTAAAAAAGTCACTGCTGTCAGCTGCAAAGATCCTTAAAATGGTCTTTAATAAAGTCAAATTTTGTGACAATAATTATTGCATCAAAGTCGGGGAAATACCTCTTAGATCAAATAAGATACATTGAAAAGCCAAAAATTATTTTTATCTCACTTTGTATTCTCATAAGGTCTATCCACTGTTACTTGGATATGAGACTTAACAAATGGAAAAGAAGACAGGGGTACTATCACACTGTATTTTCCTATGGCCTAATGACCACAATGGTTGATGAACTGCAGTAAAGTTTCTATAATATTTTCCATCTATTCATTTGCTCAATCACCTTGTAATGGTTATGTTGGTTAATTCCAGTCTCTCATGTGTAAGCAACAAAATGAGACTTAATTTGAAATATCCAGTATTTTTCTATTCTTACAAATAATTTTCAGGATCAATGCGTTGAGGATTAGGAATGGCAATGTGTATTACTACTTTGATACCAACTATATCCGATCTAATGTTGGAATTTGTTTGACAAAGTGTTGTGTATTTGAAAACAGGCAGCACTGAATAAAAAGAATATGGGCAAAAGAAAAATGGAAGTGTTTTGAATGGAAGTCTAAAATATTTATTGATCAATGCTGAACTGAGTAAGCAGGAGATGCCTGTACATAAATGACATTATCCTGATCTAGTAACAGGGAGAAGCAGAATATCTGAAAGCTGTTTATTAATTTGATAATAATAAGATTAGAAACATGCAAATCAAGATTAATAGTATTCACTTCTAATTGGGTTTAGGTAGACTTTGGCTATTTTGCTTCTGATGTTCTTATAGTTTTAATTTTCTATAATGATCATATAATATATAATATTTTCATAATAGTAAACATTTTAGAATTAAACTCCATTAGAGTGTACCTTTCCTAAAATAATATAAACATCCAATCTTGTCCTTAACAATTCTGTTCTCAAACATTAGCCTATTCCCTCAAGCCAATGTTGCTTTCGACCCATATTGTCCATCATTTCAATTTATCTCAAAGTTTTTTATTGCAACAATTAAATGCTTTGAATGATACCCAAGGCATAGTTCTAGTTCAATAAAATTTCAAAGTTAATAGTTACATCAAATTTTGTTGGTGCTCATTGAATTTCGTTATTAAAACCGTAAGTAGCATGTTTTATGCTGACTGAGGGAGATAAAAGTAGTAATGTTTAATATTCAAACTGTGATGACTGAAAAAAAAATGAGGCCTGTAAAATCTTATTTAATGTCAAATTTTAATTAAACAGGCTTAGCAGACCAAAATTAAAATCTCAATTATTTTTAAATTATTAATGACAGACAACTAGATTGAGTGAACACTGGCATCTCTTTTCAAATAACTTAGTGGATGAGTTAAACATAAACTAGTTATTATAATGCAGCGAAGTATGTGAAAAATTTAATTTGAACCCCACTTAGCTTAAAATCCTGACATTCTAGGATGCAAACTTTCCATATGTAATCAACAATTTTCTAAACATGCATGCTGTATCTCTCCTGTGTGACTTTGCATACATCATTCCCACATTCTAGATTATCCCAACCCACCTTAAGTGACTGCTTTTGCATAATCTCCCTTAAAATTCTAACTCAAGCACTGCATCTTTTGAGTCCTTCCCTAACATCTTAACATCTTCCTTCTTTCATTCATCATTAACTATAGTAAGTTATTATAGCACCTGTTAGCACTGTAAAATTATGTGTGTTACACAAGTACAACATGCAGACTAAGGTCGTGTATTACCTAGCCTCATATCAGCGTCACCTAGAACAGCAAAAATGTATGCAGATTAATCACAATATATTTGGATGTACAAAATATATTGAGAGCAAAATATGATGGAAATTTAGGTGATGCTCTTTGAGCATTGCTTCCATTTTCCAATAATGTAACCAGGAATCACTGTTCATGTAATTAAAGAACAATAAGTCTATGTGAATCAAAATATACATATACATGCAAATGTTAAACCTCAGTAGGAAGAGGCCCATTCTCTTGCTTGCTGCCATATATATATATATATATATATATATATATATATATATACACACACACATATATATATGTTGTGTGTAGATGTATATACACACAACAATCTATAGGCTTGCTTTTTAAAATAGTATAAGCAACAAATTTTAAGAGAAACAATAATGAGTGTGTAAAACATTAGATGTGTGTATGTACCTTTGCTATTATTTGTGGAAATGGGGCTATAAAATAAGCTCCTTTATTTTCTTTTGTAAAGCATTTCTTTAATATGAAGTAATGCAATATGTATTTATGTTCTAAGTGTTTTAATTTCCTTGGATATAAAATAATATCTTGTTCCTTTGATTCTCTTACATATAAGTGTATTTACTCTGATATTACTCCAAATACACCAGATATATTTAAAGTTGAAAAAATATATACTTTGGAATGTATTATCACCTTATTTCACATTAAGAAATCAAAATCTCTGGCATCCAAGTGCATTCCAGCCTGAAAAAAATTATGCAATTGTGAATTTAACAGAAAGCAAATTGCTCACATGTGGAGTCAACGTGAAGCTATATCAATATTTATTAAAAGTTCATATATTACTTTTGATCCCCTGGAGAGGAATACAAAATTCAAATAATTATTCTATTTTTATATCCCAATTTGTAATTATGAAACTCTAGCATTTTAATTTTTCTCTTTCAAGTTTACCTGAAGCTTCACAAAATTCTGTGAGGAATCTATTATAACAGGTATTTTGCTTATTTCCACACAAACAGAAGGAAATGTGTATTTTCTATGCCCTGAAGAATTTACTCTTTTCTGTAAATGACATATGGTAGTTAATTCTTTTTGGTAATAAAATATTCCTGTTTTTATGCCGAACAGCCTTTTCATTTAAATTCAGGGCAACATATCAAAGCTTTGCCGTAATAATACAGAGTAATCAACTAAAGTAATATAGAAGTTAAATAACAAAGAGTTTAAACAATTTAATATGTCTTCTATTAATTTCAAACTGAAATTTTACAGAAATTTGGAATATGCTGCCAGAGTACACACACACATACACACACACACACACACACAATCACACGCTCACATCACACACTCACACCCAGCTAAAGGAAATTACCACAGCTATAATGATTTCATTAAATATCTGAAATTAAAGTTTCTTTTGGACTTTTCAGCTGAAGCTCATAGTAAATAAAAGTAATATGATCACTGTTGCATACTGTGAATCAACAGCACACAGAAACCTTAGACTTTCTATATTTACACAGCTTAATTATCCGAACTGAAACCTGAGGCCATCTGTGTCAACATGATTTCACAATTCATTCCAGAAAATTATTTTTCAGGAAAGTAAGGCTGCAAACCAATAAATAACTTATTGTTTGCTTCAGGAAATTTCTGCAAATCAATTTATGTCAGTAAGCAACTCTCCTCTGGGCCAACAGATTGCTCACCTGGGCAGGTAGCAGCTTGTGTCAATAACAGTTTACTTATGAAGACTTCTGTCATGGCCCTTAACTCACAGTGTCCCCCAATCCTAAACTCTATGTCCTGAACATTACCTCTTCTTATCAGTCATTGGTCTTGAAAGGCCCCGGGCAACCATGTGAGCCCAGACGTCAATACCCTATCGATACCACCTTATCATCTACTCTTCTAACATAACCCCTCAAGGTGGTGACCCCACTTACAGTCGTATTTTATTGAATTTAGCTTTCCCTAATCAACATGCTAGTCTATTGGATGCAGTGTCAGAGGCAACAATCACAGAGGTTCTGAAAGCATCAGCCCACGGTTTTCTAAACATCATGGTTCAAGACCCTTAACACGAAACAGAAAGTTTCCCCGAGGCGCCGTAAACAACCCGTTTGGGCGCTTCCCTGATAATTATAGTGAAATCTGGCATCTAATTTTTTTTGGTGGACTCTCAAATTTTATATTTACGTTTTGCTTCCTAGAAATAAAAAATGTTTTTATAAGGAATTCTTTGATCGTTTATGTTTTATTCTTGATAGAAACCTACTTTATAACTTCGAACATTATTGATGTTCTTCCTGTATTTCTGAGAGGTGACAGCTTGCTGGCATCCCCTCGCTGGCTCTCGGCGCCTCCTCGGCCTCAGCCCACTCTGGCCGCGCTTCAGGAGCCCTTCAGCCCGCAGCTGCACCGTGGGAGCCCCTCTCTGTGCTGGCTGAGGCCTGAGCGGGCTCCCTCTGCCGGCGGGGAGGTGTGGAGGGAGAGGCGCGGGCCGGAACCTGGGCTGCCTGCGGTGCTCGCAGGTCCAGCGCGACTTCCGGGTGGGCGCGGGCTCGGCGCGCCCCGCACTCTGAGCGGTCGGCTGGCGCCGCCGGCCCTGGGCAGTGAGAGAGGCTTAGCACCCGGGCCAGCAGCTGCGGAGGGTGCACTGGGTCCCCCAACAGTGATGGCCCGCCGGCGCCGCGCTCGAATTTTCGCTGGGCCTCAGCCACCTCCCCGCGGGGCAAGGGGGCAGGGCTCGGGACCTGCAGCCTGCCATGCTGGAGCCCTCACCCTGCTCCCCGCCCCCGTCCCCTGCCCCCCGCCCCCCAGCCGCGGGCTCCCGCGCGCCACCCCGAGGGGACGGGCGCCACCTCCTGCTACGCGGCACCCGGTCCCGTCAACCGCCCAACGGCTGAGGAGTGCGGGAGCGCGCCAGAGACTGGCGGGCAGCTCCGCCCGCGGCCGGGATGCACTAGGCAAAGCCAGCTGGGCTCCTGAGTCCGGTGGGTACTTGGAGAACTTATTACGTCTAGCTGGAGGATTGTAAATGCACCAATCAGCATGCTGTGTCTAGCTCAAGGTATGTGAACGCACCCATCAGTGCTCTGTGTCTAGCTAATCTAGTGGGGACTTTGGAGAACTTTTGTGTCTAGCTAAAGGATTGTAAACAGACCAATCAGCTCTCTGTAAAATGAACCCATCAGCTCTCTATGAAATGGACCAATCATCAGGATGTGGGTGGGGTGAGATAAGGGAATAAAAGCGGCTGCCAGAGCCAGCAACAGCAACGTGCTGGGGTCCCTTTCCACAGTGTGGAGGCTTTGTTCTTTTGCTCTTTGCAGTCTTGCTGCTGCTCACTGTTTGGCTCTGCGCAGAGCTGTAACACTCACCAAGAAGGTCTGCAGCTTCACCCAAAGATATTCCAAAGATACAGAAAACTATACAGAGACATTTTGTGTAGTTCTAATAGCATATAATCCACAGGTCCCTGATCTATAATAGGGGTTTTTTATAAAATTGGTTTTTTGTATGCTATGAGGAATTTTACTTGTTAAAAAGAAGAGGTGGAAAGGCAGAATATGAAAACTATGAGAATGACATAAGAGACTATGAATTAGGTGAGAAACCAGAGAGATTTAGAAACCTGTAGACATTGTGCATCCCCCAATGCCTTTCCCCTTAAAAAAATATTATATTCTAATCCAGTCCATCAAATAAAGTCTACATTCATTAGAAACATATTCTCTTGGTTTTTATAATTTCAATTTTTTTCAGACACAGATAGTGCATATGCAGATTTGTTACTTTTGTACAGTGCACCCTGGTAGTGAGCATAGTACCCAGTAGGTAGTTATTCAGCCCATGCTCCCCTCTCTCCCCCACCCCCATAGCCTGCAGCATGTCTTGTTCCCATGTTAATGTTCCTGTGTGCTCAATGTTTAGGTTCCACTTATAAGTGAGAATGTGTGGTATCTGGTTTTCTTTTCCAGCACTAATTTGCTTAGGATTATGTCCTTAGCTCCATCCATGTTGCTGCAAAGGACATAATTTCATTCTTTTTTATGGAGGCATAGTATTCCATAGTGTATATGTACCACATTTTCTTTATCCAATCCACCGTTGATGGGCACCTAGGTTCATTCCATGTCTGTGCTGTTGTGAATAACATGCTGATGAACATACGAGTGCATATATATTTTTCTGGTAGAATAATTTATTTTCCTTTGAATATATACCCAGTAATGGGAATGCTGGGTCGAAGGGTATCTCTGTTTTAAGTTCTTAGAGAAATCTCCAAAATACTTTCCACAGTGCCTGAACCAGTTTACATTTCCACCAACAGTAGTTGTATAAGCATTCCCTTTACTCTGCAGCCTGGCCAACATCTAATTTTTTGACTTTTTAATTATAGCTATTGTGACTGATGTGAGTTGGCATCTTACTGTGGTTTTTGCTTGCATTTATTTATTTGATGATGAGTGAGGATGAGTGTTTTTTCATATACTTGAGTGTCTTCTTTTGAGAAAATATCTGTTCATGTCCTTTGCCTTTTCTTGATTTAAATTTTAAGTTCTGGGGTACATGTGCAGGAAGCGCAGTTTTGTTACATAGATAAACGTGTGTGGTGGTGGTTTGCTGCACCTATCAACCCATCACCTAGGTATTAAGCCCAGCATGCATTAGCTATTTTTCCTGATGCTCTCCCTCTCCTCAACCCCCTACAGAAAATTATAGTGTGTGTTGTGTGTTGTGTGTTGTTCCCCACTGTGTGTTGTTCCCCTCCCTGTGTCCATGTGTTCCCATTGTTCAGCTCCCACTTATAAGTGAGAAGATGCGGAGTTTGATTTTCTGCTCCTGTATTAGCTTTGCCCTTTTTGACTGGGGTTGTTTTATGCTTGTCATTTTTTCTTCCTTATGGATTTGTTATATTAGATCTTTATCAGATGCATAGTTTGCAAATATTTTCTCCCATTCTGTAAGTTGGCTGTTTACTCTGTGGATAGTTTCTATTGCTGTGCAGAAGCTTTTTAGTTTGATTGACTTTCACTTGTCAATTTCGTTTTCGTTGCAATTGTTTTTAGAAACTTAGCCAAAAATTATTTGCCAAGGCCAGTGTCGAGAAAAATATTTCCTAGGTTTTGTTTTAGAGTTTTCATAATTTGAAGTCTTACATTTTAACCGTTAATCCATCTTGAATTAATTTGTGTGTATGGTGGAAGGTAAGCATCCAGTTTCACTCTTCTGCTTATGGCTAGCGAATTGTCCCAGCACCATTTATTGAATAGGGTGCCTTTTCCCCGTTGTTTGTTTTTGTTGGCCTTGTCCAAGATCAGATGGTGGTAAGTGTGCAGCTTTATTTTTGAGTGTTCTATTCTGTTCCATTGGCTTAAGTGTCTGCTTTTGTAACAGTATCATGGTTAGTGTACACTTATAGTATAGCTGGAAATTGGGTAGTATGATGCCTCTCTGGCTTTATTATTTTTGCTCAGAATTGCTTTGGCCATTCTGGCTTTTGGGGGTGTTCCATATAAATTTAGAATAGTTTTTTCTAATTCTGTGAAGAATGATGTTGGTAGTTTCATGGAGATAGCCTTGAATCTACAAATTGCTTTGGGCAGTATGGCCATTTTAACAATATTGATTCTTTTAATCTGTAAACATGGAATGTTATTCCATTTATTTGTGTTATCAAAATTTCCTTCCTTCCTTCCTTCCTTCCTTCCTTCCTTCCTTCCTTCTTTCCTTCCTTCCTTCCTTCCTTCCTTCCTTCCTTCCTTCCTTCCATCTTTCCTTCCTTCCCTCCCTCCTTTCCTCCCTCCCTTCCTTCCATCCTTCCTTCCTTTTCTTATTTCCTTCCTTTTTTGAGACAGGGTCTCACCCTTTCACCCAGGCTGGAATGCAGTGGAGTTATTATAGCTCACTGCAGGCTTGAGCTCCTGGCCTCAAGCCGTCAGGGTAGTTAGGACTACAGGCATGTGCCACCATGCCTCGCTATTAAAAAAAAAAACAAAAAACAATTTGTATAGATGAGGTTCCACTATGTTGCCCAGGTTGGTCTCAAACTCCTGGGTCCAAGCGATATACCTGCCTCGGCCTCCCAAAGGCATGAACCACTGCATCCAGCTTCAGATTTCAGCTGTGTTTTGTAATTCTCCTTGTGGAGATCTTTCACATCTTAGGTTAGTTGTATTTGCAGGGATCTTATTTTCATCCTAGGTGTTGTAAATATGATTGTGTTCTTAATTTAACTCTCAACCTGGATGTTGTTGTTGTATAGAAATGCTACTAATTGTTGTACATTGATTTTGTATCCTGAAACCTTGCTAAAATCCTTTATCATTTCTAGTAGACTTTTGTTGAAGTCTTTAAGGTTTTTTAGGTATAGAATGATATTGTTGGGTGAAGACAGATAGTTTGCCTTAATCTTTACTTCCTATTTGGGTGCTTTTCTCTTTTTCTGTTGCGAGATTGCTCTGACTAGGATTTCTGGTACTATGTTGAATAGGAGTGGTAAGAGTGGATGTCCTTGGCTTGTTTCATTTCTAAAGGAGAATGCTTTCAGCTTTTGCCCATTCAGTATTATATTGGCTGTGGGTTTGTTGTAGATAGCTCTTTTTTATTTTGAAGTATGCTTATTTGAAGCCTCAACTGTTGAGGGTTTTTTTTTTGTTTTGTTTTTTCATGAAGGGACACTGGATTTAATTGAAAGCTTTTCCGGCATCCATTGAGATGATCATATGGTTTTTGATTTAATTCTGTTTATCTGGTGAATCACGTTTATTGATTTGCATATGTTGAACCAGCCATGCATCCCAGGAATAAAGCCTGTATTGTCATAGTAGATAAATTTTTTGATATGCTGCTGATGGATTCAGTTTGCTAGTACTTTGTTGAGAATTTTTGAGTCTATGTTCATCAACAGTGGTCACCTGAATGTTCTTTTTTTTTGCGTCTCTGCCAGGTTTTGGTATTAAGCTGATTCTGGCTTCACAGAATGAGTTAGGAAGGAGTACGTTCTCTTCAACTTTTCTGGAATAGTTTCAGTAGAATTGTACTAGTTCTTCTCTATACTTCTGGTAGAATTTTGCTGTGACTCCATATAGTCCAGGGCTTTTTGGCTTGGTAGATTTTTTATTACTTACTCAATTTCAGAGCTTCATATTGGTCTCTTCAGTATTTAAGTATCTTCCTGATTCAATCTTGGAAGATTGCCTGTTTTCAGAAATTTATCCATTTCCTCTAGATTTTCTGATTTTTGTGTCTAGAGTTATTCCTAGTATTCTCTGAGGATTATTTTGTATGTCTGTGGGACCATTTTTAATGTCGTTTTTGTCATTCTGATTTATATATTTAGATCTTCTCCTTTTTTTCTTTGTTTATCTAGCTAAAGGTCTATCAATCTCTTTTTTTAAATCAACTCTTGGTTTCATTAATCTTTTGTATGGATTTTTGCATCTCAATTTCATTCAGATCTTCTCTATTTTAGTTGTTGCTTTTCATTCCTGGCGTTGATGTAGGGTTGTTCTTTTTTTTTTTTCCCTAGTTCCTTTAGGCGTAGTGTTAGATTGTTAATTTGAAATATTTCTAACTTTATGATAAAGGCATTTAAACGTTCCTCTTAACACTGATTTAGCTGCATCCCAGAGATTTTGGTAATTTGTGTTCCCATTTTCATTAATTTCACTTTCTTAAAATTTCTCCCTTAATTTTGATTTTCACACAGAAGTTATTCAGGAGAAAGTTGTTTAATTTTCATCTATTTGTGTAGTGTTGAGAGATGTTGATATTTATTTATATTTTGATTACATTGAGATCTAAGAGTGTGCTTGATATGAGTTCATTTTTTAAAATTTATCCAGACTTGCTTTATGACCAAGCATGTGGTCAATGTTAGAATATGTTCCCTGTGCAGATGAGAAGAATGTATATTCTGTGGTTATTGAGTGGAGTGTTCTGTAGATGTCTTATTAGGTCCAAATGGTCAAGTGTGAAGTTTAAGTACACAGTTTCTTTCTTAGTTGTCTGCTTTGATGATGCAATGCTGCCAGCGGGGGTGTTGAAGTCTCCTACAATTATTGGGTGGTCGTCTGTCTTTTTGTAGTCCAAAAAGAACTTGTTTTATGAATGTGGGTGCTCCATGTTGGGTGCATTTATATTTAGGGTACTTAAGTATTCTTGTTTGATCATATACTTTCTCATGACGTAATGCTCTTCATTCTTCAATTGTTCTTTTAAATTTTGATTAAAGTCTGTTTTATCTGATATAAGAATAGTTACTCCTGCTTTTTTGTTATCATTTGCATGGCAGATTTTCTCCATCCCCTTATTTTGGGCCAGTGGCTGTCATTACATATGAGATGAGTCTCTTGAAGACTACAGATGGTGAGCCTTGCATTTTTATCCAGTTTGCCATTGTACGTCATTTAAGTGGGGTGTTTAGCCTGTTTACATTTATGGTTAATGTTGATACATGAGATTTTGATCCTATCATCATGTTTGTAGCTGGTTTTTAGGTAGACTTGATTGTGTAGATACTTTATAGTGCCTGTGAGCTATGTACTTAAGTGGGTTTTTGTGGTAGCAGGTGTCATTCTTTTTACTCAATGTATAGCACTCCCTTAAGGACCTTTCATAAGGCTGGTCAAGTTGAAATTGATTCCCTCAGTATTTGCTTATCTGAGAAGAAATTTGTTTCTTCTTCACTTAGGAAGTTTAGTTTAGTGAAATATAAAATTATTGCCTGGAATTTATTTTCATTAATGATGTTGGACATAGGCCCTTAATCTCTTCTGGCTTGTAAGGTTTTTGCTGAGATATTTACTACTAGCCTAGTGGAGTTCTTGCTGTATGAAAACCTGACCTTTCTCTCTAGCTGCCTTTAAGATTTTTTTTTCTTTTGTATTTACTTTGGTGAATATGATGACTATGTGCCTTAGGGATAGTCACCTTTTATAGTACCTAGCTGGGTTTGCTGTATTTTTTGGATTTACATGTCACTCTCTCTAGCGAGGTTAGGAAAATTTTCATAGACTCTATTCTCAAATCGACTTTCCAAGTTGCCTTTTCTCTTTCTTTCTCTTCTAGGAATGACAATGAGTCGTAGATTTGGTCTCTTTATATAATTCCATAATTCTTAAAGCTTTGGTTCATTTTCTTTTTTTAATTCTTTTTTAAAATTTTCTTTTGACTCAGTTGATTCAACGAACCAGTCTTTGAGCTCTGAGATTCTTTCCTTAGCTTGGCCTACCTTCTGTTAATATTTCTTATTGTATTATAAAATTCTTATACTGAATTTTTTCTGCTCTAGAAATTCAGTGTGGCTATTTTTTAAAATGGCAATTTCATCTTTCAGCACTTACTTAGATTGCTTTACCGGATTACTTGGATTGGGTTTCAACTTTCTGCTTAATGTTCATGAGCTTCCCTGCCATCGAGGTTCTGTATTCTATGTCTGTTGCAATTATTTTAGACTGATTAAGAACCATTGCTTGGTAGCTAGTGGGCTAATTTTGAGGTAAGAGGACACTCTAGCTTTTTGAATTGCCAGAGTTCTTGCACTGATTTTTTCTCTTCTGGTAGGGTTAGTGTTCCTTTAACTGTAGTGTATGTTGAGTATAGGCAATTGGTTTTGTTTCTGGATGCTTTGAAAGGGCCAGGGCTTTCTCTGTCCAGGATTTTTATGTATGAGTAATTCTTGTGTTTGGTTTCACAGGTGTATATGTAGCAGGATAAATTTTGATGTTGTAGTTTGGGATGTGATCCAATGCATGGTGCTTAAGAGCGATGGCCAGTGGCTAGCCTAATACCCAGTGGCATGGCTGTTTTATACTTCCTTTTGTTTGCAGGTGTGCTCTATAGTGGGGGTGGGAGAGATGCCTCCATCACCAGATCTGCTCCTGGGCCCTGGGGGAGTCTCCTGCAATCACTGTGTTTCTTGTGTTAGGTGTTCTAGGCCACAGGTCTCTCTCAGGCAGAGGCCCTTTCCTAGGAGCCATTCTGGGGAACTAGCTGTAGTGTTTGGGTTCCCTGCACAGGCTTCCTCCCTCTTCAACTCAGCTTCATTGCTGCCTCTCCATCCACTCAGCATTTTCTCTCTCAAGATCTGCCTAAATTACGGTGGTTTACTCCATAATTTGGTGTCTCTCAGTGGGGGTGGTGCTTCCTGACCATGTCAAATTGACCATCTATTGTCACAGAATGAAAACCTCTTTGATAGACTTTGTAACATTTTTGAATATTACATTCAGGAGTAAAATCTTACGCAGTGTGATCCCAGCTATCTCTTCGCTTTTGAGAATAACCTTAAGTAATTAAAGGATAATTAAATATGTAATTAAAAATTGAAAAATAGAACAGCTACACTTCCAGATCTCAACTTCTTTCAGAAAATTTTAAAATCTCTTTAAAGAAAGGTAAATTGAGACCAAAATAGACTAATAGCTTCATAAAAATAAGTGCTCAAGGAGGGTGTTACATGTGAAAATTAAACTTGGAATTTGTCATTTTACCCGTAAAATTACTGAGAGTAATTTCCTTGAAATGTAAATAACTTCACAAATTTTTAATTAACAAAAATGCTAAAATATTACTCCGCTTACCTTTATGTAACCTCTTCCTTGAAAACAACAATTTACTCATCTGGTGTGTGACTCTAATAACCTTCAATCATTCTCTATATCTGACACCATGACTAGTAACTTAGATCTTTAACTAAGCAACCTTTCTTTCCGCCTTTGTGATATTATATCTAGTAATTTAATAACAAACAATCTATGTTGCAAATTAAACTTCCAAATTGAATACTAATTTTCAAATCCCAAGGACCCATTTCTTCTGCCTCAATCTTAATTAGGTCTTAGTTAATAGAAAAATTAGCTGGCTGGGTGCGGTGGCTCATGCCTGTAATCCCAGCACTTTGGGAGGCCAAGGTGGGCGCATCACCTGAGGTCTGAAGTTCGAGACCATCCTGGCCAACATGGTGAAACCCCGTGTGTACTAAAAACACAAAAAATTGGCCGGGTATGGTGGTGGGTGCCTGTAATCCCAGCTACTCAGGAGGCTAAGGCAGGAGAATCACTTGAACCTGGCGGGGTGGAGGATGCAGTGAACCGAGATCCCACCACTGCACTACAACCTGGGCAGCAACAGTGAAACTCCTCAAAAAAAAAAAAAAAAGAAAAAAGAAAAAGAAAAAAGAAAATTAACTAAATCAAGCCTAAATAAAACATATTCACAAAGTGGCAGACTTTTTTAATCCAAAAATTTAACTGCATGAATGTCTCATTTATAGAACATTATTTTACAATGAGGTTTTACACATCAATCAGTTGAGTCACTTCTTTTTCTTCTTCTTTTTTTTTTTTTTGAGATGGAGTCTCGCTCTGTTGCCCAGGCTGGAGTGCAGTGGTGTGACCTCAGCTCACTGCAACCTCCACCTCCTGGGTTCAAGCGATTCTCCTGCCTCAGCATCCCGAGTACAGGCACTACAGGCACGTGAGCAAGAGAAGCTGACAGATTCAAATGTTCACAAACATTTATGTTCTATTTTGATAGATACATAAACTATATTTCTCATTCTTATATACTTTATATTAGGGCATGGGATTAAAGTCAAAATAGTGGAAAATTAGTAGAAATAACATATTTTATATCCAATTTAGTCTCCAAAATCCCAACATGCACTCTTCTGTATACGTTTTTCAGTATGCTTGACTGGAATGGCCAATTCTACAGTAGTCTTGGAAGCAACATACTGCAGATTAAATAGCTTAGTAGCCTATGTTCTTGAATGCGGACATAAAGGAGCAATGCTTTTCCTATCTTAAAAAAACAGTTTATATGAATGAAACTTCTGTTCTGTTTAAGATATTATATGTTGTTGAGTGTAGTTGTCAAAGCAACTAGTACTATTCCAAGTAATGTAGAAATCACCAGCTTGAGTTGGGTCTGCTATAACAGCACCTAAAACATATCCACTAAATTAGTATTAAATGGACAAGTAAACCAAACTCAGAGGGTTGAAATGAAGACTTGTAATACCCAGTGAAAAAAAATTATTGAAACTACCATCTAAAATTAATTGGAAGCTTAATATTACCTCTAGGAAAGAGTGTGGGAAATGAGGAAAGGCAAAAGGTAATGTGTTCATGTTTGTTCTGTTCCATAATCCAAGAAATAGATAAACACAGGCAAAAAAAAAAAAAAAAAAAAGGAAATATCCTGTCTTTAGAGTGGGAAGAAAGTGGATAGAGTTGAGTTGCTAAACCTTAGCATTATTGACATTTTATGCCTGATATTCCTGCATTCTGTGGGAGGTTATTCTTTGCATTGTAGGATATTAATAGTATCTCTAGGCTATACCACCACATACCAGTAGCATCACCACCTATTCATTATAATTCAAAATGTCTCCAGACAGTGACAAGTGTTCTATGGAAACAAAATCATTCCTTGTTGGAAACCACTTGTAAACAAAAGGTCTAGTAATGGTGGAATTATACAGTGACAGAAAAGCTCAGGTTTTTCTGATTAGGTTGAAAAAGCTGCTCAGAAATTAAATCCTACTGTGTTCATAAAAAACAAGGAACCCAGCCCTGAAGCAAAGAACTAATCAGGGAAGTTGTTTTCTCTTTCACGTCCATGATCTCAAATGACCTTAAAGTGGTCATCTTTACAGTCAGAGAAGCATATGTGTGTTGGGGAGGAGAAAAAACAAGGAAATGAGGCAGACTTTAGAATTATACCTAGGAAAGAACTGTATGTTTGGTTATCAACTAGATCCAATAAATAAATAAATGTTTTCCACGTAACTACTTGGTAAAGGTATAATAAGCCTATTGTGAGAAAAAAAATTAAGGCTTAAAATATCCTCAAGCATCCCAAATTGCACTAATCAGTGCAATTGATTAGTCATGCTGAGAAAACACTCATTGTTCTAATTTAAGATGGAGGCATGGAGAATAAGAGAAAATGTAAATTACCTCAGAAAGTAAATCTGTGAGCCACAGGGACAATGGACCTTAAAGTTATTTCCACAGGACATGTTTATGGTTTCATGAAATAAATATTTGTACTGCTCAGAAATATTTTTGTCAGTGCTATGCAGACTTCTTTGTCTTCTGATAGGAGCTTCACCATGGTAACTTAGATTTTACAGATAATTTGTCTTTTGACTTGATAGGACACTAGTCCTCGTTAAGTCATATAGTGGCCTAAGGGAGAGAACTGCACGTCATGAAACATCCTGAACTCTAAGTTGTAGGCAGTAACTGGGCAAAACTTTAAGTTGTTTACAGAGTGAAGAGAAGTGAATTTTTCACATATAAAGAAGTGTGCAAATTGTATTTCATGAGTAGTCTTTTGTCTTCTGGAATGGTGATATATACAAAGTAATCTGGGAAGATACAATTTGATAATAGTAGATCCTTCATTAACTTGAATTATGTTTTGCAGGAAAGATGCTTCTTTAGCCAAAATTACTTATGGTAAACTGATATGTAAGCAAGAAATCACCTTCTACTTGGTTTAAGCCATTCAGTGTACTCTCTAGATAGATATGACACAAAGCTAGCATTATAATACAGTAAACCAAGTGTTAATGTAATTTTATGTTGATTTTGACTACATTCTGAAAATAATAAAAGTCATCTGATATTTTAGGCTTACGATATGAACTTGGTACTATGATAGGTGTTTGAAATGTTTATCTCATTTGATTCTTAGAACAAACTTATATTGTGGGTACTAATACAGTACTGATTTTTTAAATAAGAAAAAGGATTGCAAAAAATGTAAAAAGTCTTATTAAAAAGTACAAAATTCTATCTCCAAATGTGTAATGAATTTTATATAGTCAGTTAATATTTGTTTAGCTCAATAAAGTAATGTTTGGTGTAATAGTTGATTTCTTTAATGTTCATTGAGAATCACCACATTATCAATTTGAAATTAATTCACCTATTCGAAGAAGTTGCTTCCTCCAGTTAAGACAGTATAGTAAGCAAAATAATGGTTTACAAAACAAACAAACCAAGAACAACAACAAAAAACCACATGTCCTGATTTCTGGAACCTGTGAATATGTTAACTTTATCTGGTAAAAGGGGCTTTGCAAGTATTATAATGTTAAGGATGGTAAGATGAAAAACTGTCCTTTTGAGTTCAGTGTAATCAAATGGGTTTAAAATAGGGAAACATTCTTGGCTAGAAACATAAGGTGATATGATTTCAAAAGAATGGTCAGAGAGATACAGCATTTCTGGTTTGAACAAATGAAAGACCACAAGCTAACAAATCAGGACAGCCTCTAGAGGCTGGAAAAGTCAAGGAAACTGATTTTCCCCTAAAACCTTCAGAAAGGAACACAACAGTTCTCACTCTTTGATTTTAGCCTCATAAGATGCATGTCAGACATCTGACAAACACAATTGTTTGACACTATATTTGTGCTATTTTAAACCACTAACTTTGTAGTAATTTGCTACAGCAGCAGTAAGAAAATAATGCAGAGTGTTTCTATAATGGAGATAAAAGTATAAACAAGAGGCAAGGATTTCCTTCCTTCACAGTGTTTATAATATACTAAGAAAACAAACATTAAATACACAGGGCCCCGATAGATTATTCCACTTTAATTTTAGCTGGCACTGTGGAAGGAAAATAGAAATTCTAGAATATAGTGAATAGGAATATAACTTATTCTTATGTGGGAAGAAATGCTTATTACTGAATACTATTTGGGCTGAAAATAAATGCACTGTAGTTACAGTAAGTACAGTAAAAAAGGTAGTTTGCTATAAGGGAACAGGGCCATTGAAATGTAATGAAAGTCATCAAAGTTTTAGGCATTAACTATAAGTTGCAAGGAGTTAAACAATTATAAGCAGTCCGATTATTAAAAAAATATGTGCCTGATTCTCAAAATCACAAGTGTTCTTTAAGATTGCTAACCGTAGTAGTCAATTTTCACAGTGATATAAAGAATGACTTGAGACTGAGTAATTTATGAAGAAGAGAGATTTAATTGATTCATAGTTCTTCAGGCTTTACAGGAAGCATGAATGGGAGGACTCAGGAAACTCAGAAAATCATGGTGGAAGGCAAAGGGGAAACGAGGTTCTTCTTGACATGGCACCAGGAGAGAGAGAGCACAAGGAGGGAAGTGCCACACACTTTTAAACCATCAGATCTCTTGGAACTCACTCACTATCATGAGAATAGCATGCGGAAATCTGCTCCCATGATCCAGTCACCTCCACCCAGGCCCCTCTCTTGACATGAGGGGATTACAATTTGAGATGAGATTTGGGTGGGGACAGAGGGCCAAGCCATATGATTTCTCCTCTGGCCCCTCCCAAGTGTCATGTCCTTCTTCTCACATTTCAAAACCAATCATGCCTTCCCAACAGACTGAAAGTCTTAACTTATTCCAGCATTAACTCAAAAGTGCATGTCCAAAGTTTCATCTGAGACAAGGCAAATCCCTTCTGCCTATAAGCCTGTAAAATCAAAAACAAGTTAGTTAATTTCAAGATACAGTGGGGGTACAGGGGTCAGGTAAACACTCCAATTCCATAAGGGAGAAATTAGCCAAAACAAAGGGTCTGCAGGCCCCATGCAAGTCCAAAACCCGACAAGGCAGTCATTAAATCTTAAGGCTCTGAAACAATCTTCTTTGACCTCATCTCTCACGTCCAGAGCATACTGATGCAATATCTGGGCTCCCATGAGCTTTGACAGCTCTGCCTCTGTGGCTCTGCAAGGCACAGCCCCCACAGCTGCTTTCACAGGCTAGGATTGAGTGCCTGTGACTTTTCCAGGCACACTGTGCAAACTGTCAGTGGATCTACCATTCTGGGGTCTGAAGCACTATGACCCTCTTCTCAAAGCTCCAGTAGGGAGTGCCCCAGTGGGGAATCTGTGTGGGGGCTCCAACCCCACATTTTCCCTCTGCACTGCCCTAGTAGAGGTTCTCCATAAGGGCTCCACTTCTGCAGCAGACTTTTGCCTAGACATCCAGGCATTTCCATACATCCTCTGAAATCTAGATGGAGGTTCCCAAACCTCAACTCTTCCCTTCTGCACAACCACAGGCCCAGCCTCATGTGGAAGCCACCAAAGCTTGAGGCTTGTATTCTCTGAAGCAATGGCCTGAGTAGTGCCTTGGTCCCTTTTAGCCACAGTTGGAGCTGAGCAGCTGGAACACTGGGCACCATGTCCCGAGGCTGCCCAGAGCAGCAGGGCCCTGGGCCCAGCCCACTGAACAATTTCTCCCTCCTAGGCCTCCAGGCTTATAATGGGAGGGGCTGCCTCAAAGGTCTCTGAAATGTACTGGAGACATATTCCACATTGTCTTTGCTATTAACATTTGGCTCCTCTTTACTTATGCAAATTTTTGCTTGAATTTCTCCCAAGAGCATGGGTTTTTCTTTTTTACTATATGGTTAGGCTGCAAATTTTCCAAACTTGTATGCTCTGCTTTCCTTTTAAATATACGTTTTAGTTTCAAGCCATCTCTTTCTTCATGGACATGAGCATAAACTTTTAGAAGCAGCCAGGCCACATGTTAGAAGGTCTGTTGCTTAGAAATTTATTTCACCAGATACCCTAAATCATCTCTCTCAAGTTCAACATTACACAGATCTCTAGGGCCGGGTCAAAATGCTATCAGTCTCCTTGCTAAAGCATAGCAAGAGTAACTTTTTCTTCAGTTCTCAGTGAGTTCCTCATCTCCATCTGAGACCCCCTCAGCCTGGACTTCGTTATCCAAATCATTATCGGCATTTTGTTCACAACCATTCAACAGGTCTCTAGGAAGATTTAAACTTTCCCACATCTCCCTGTCTTCTTCTGAGTCCTCCAAACTGTTTCCTACCTCTGCCTGTTACCCAGTTCCAAAGTTACTTCCATATTTTCAGGTATTTTTATAGCAATGCCCCACTTCTGTGGTACCAATTTTCTGTATTTATCTCTTCTCAAACTGCTATAAAGAACTACTGGGTAATTTATGAGGCAAAGAGGTTTAATTGACTCACAGTTCTGCAAGCTTAACAGGAAGCATGACTGGGAGGCCTCAGGAAACTAACAATCATGGCAGAAGGTAAAGGGGGAGCAGGCGCCTTCTTCACATGGTGTCAGTAGAGAGAAGAGCCAGGGGGAAGTTCCACACACTTTTAAACCATCAGATCTTGTGAGAACTCACTGACTGTCACGAGAACAGTATGGGAAATCCACCCCCATGATCAAATCACCTCCTACCAGACCCCTCCCCTGACACGTGGGGATTACGATTCAACATGAGATTTGTGTGGGGACACAGAGCCAAACTATATCACTAACCTAGTAAGTGCTTATCTTGATTAAATTGTATGGAAAACTACAACTTAAATTATGTGATCAGAAATTCTATCTAATGATAGACATTAATTCAAATGCCACCATGTTCTCCTGTCAGCTTCTCATATATTGTCATGGATATGATTTAATTGTCCTTCAGTGTCATGGAACACATCCTGAGATTCAGCTGATGAAGTTGCAAACTGGATAAATATAAATAATGATGTTTCAAAAAAGAAAATCCTCACTTAGTAAAAAAATGTTAGGTTTATTTTACACTTTCTTGACAGCTGAACTAATATAAAAAGCACTCACCTTGTTTCTTTCAGTTTTGTGTATGTTTTGATTGTGTCAGCTGAGTTCTTCAAGGGATTTTCTGTGTGTCAGAGACACTTGTCCCCCATTCTGTTTTCCTGTGTAATCTCAAAATTGACAAGGGTCTTCACTGTATGTGAAAAGGATGTCTGTGTTGCTTGATTTTATGTGTGACTACTGTTTGCGATTGTCCTTTTCCCAATATGACATGTAATTTTACAGCACAGATAATTTTTCAAAAGAATTACATTCCCAGGCTTAGCAGAGGGAGCGGCCTACTTATTGAAATGTGAAATCGAATCTCTGAAACAGAAACACCAAATTCTTATACTAATCTGTAAAGTAGCTATAAAATGTTATTTTTCAGAGTGAAGTATCTGTCAAGATGGCTAGTTTTGGTGTATAATAGAAATGGTATTTTATTCCTTTTATTTCTGTAAACAGATTAAGTCTGTGTGTGTGTGTGTGTGTGTGTGTGTGTGTGTGTGTGCACGTGCGTGTGTGTGTGTGTGTGTACATGGGATATAATACAAATCTACCTCGACTTATAATGAGTTACATCCTGATAACCACAGGCCAAGATGTGTTATGATGGATCTGGATATACTCATAAGTTGAAAATATTTTAGGTAAAAAATGCATTTAGTACATTTAACAAAAATAGTGGCAAACCGAGTCCAGCAGCACATCAAAAAGCTTATCCACCAAGATCAAGTTGGCTTCATCCATGGGATGCAAGACTGGTTCGACATACGCAAGTCAATAAATGTAATCCATCACATAAAGAGAACCAAAGACAAAAACCACATGATTATCTCAATAGATGCAGAAAAGGTCTTTGACAAAATTCAATAGCCCTTCATGCTAAAAACTCTCAATAAACTAGGTATTGATGGAACATATCTCAAAATAATAAGAGCTATATATGACAAACCCACAGCCAGTATCATACTGAATGGGCAAAAACTGGAAGCTTTCCCTTTGAAAACTAGCACAAGACAGCGATGCCCTCTCTCACCACTCCTATTCAACATAGTGTTGGAAGTTCTGGCCAGGGCAGTCAGGCAAGAGAAAGAAATAAAGGGTATTCTAGTAGGAAAAGAGGAAGTCAAATTGTCCCTGTTTGTAGATGATGTGATTGTATATTTAGAAAACCCCATCATCTCAGCCCAAAATCTCCTTAAGCTGATGAGCAACTTCAGCAAAGTCTCAGGTTACAAAATCAATGTGCAAAAATCACACGCATTTGTATACACCAATAACAGACAATCAGAGAGCCAAATCATGAGTGAACTCCCATTCACAATTGCTACAAAGAGAATAAAATACCTAGGAATCCAACTTACAAGGGATGTGAAGGACCTCTTTAAGGAAAACTACGAACCACTGCTCAACGAAATAAAAGAGGGCACAAACAAATGGAAGAACATTCCATGCTCATGGGTAGGAAGAATCAATATCGTGAAAATGGCCATACTGCCCAAGGTAATTTATAGATTCAGTGCCATCCCCATCAAGCTACCAATGACTTTCTTCACAGAATTGGAAAAAACTACTTTAAAGTTCATATGGAATCAAAAAAAGAGCCCATATTGCCAAGACAATCCTAAGCAAAAAGAACAAAGCTGGAGGCATCATGCAACCTGACTTCAAACTATACTACAAGGCTACAGTAACAAAAACAGCATTTTACTGGTACCAAAACAGAGATATAGACCAATGGAATGGAACAGAGGCCTCAGAAATAACACTAAACATCTACAACCATCTGATGTTTGACAAACCTGACAAAAACAAGAAATGGGAAAAGGATTCCCTGTTTAATAAATGGTACTGGCTAGCCATATGTAGAAAGCTGAAACTGGATCCCTTCCTTCACCTTATAGAAAAATTAATTCAAGATGGATTAAAGACTTAAATGTTAGACCTAAAACCATAAAAACCCTAGAAGAAAACCTAGGCAATACCATCCAGGACATAGGCATGGGCAAGGACTTCATGACTAAAACATCAAAAGCAATGGCAACAAAAGCCAAAATAGACAAATGGGGTCTAATTAAACTAAAGAGCTTCTGCACAGCAAAAGAAACTACCATCAGAGCGAACAGGCAACCTACAGAATGGGAGAAAATTTTTGCAATCTACCCATTTGACAAAGAGCTAATATCCAGAGTCTACAAAGAACTTAAACAAATTTACAAGAAAAAATCAAACAAACCCATCAAAAAGTGGACAAAGGATATGAACAGACACTTTTCAAAAGAAGACATTTATGCAGCCAACAGACACATGAACAAATGCTCATCATCACTGGTCATCAGAGAAATGCAAATCAAAACCACAATGAGATAGCATCTCACACCAGTTAGAATGGTGATCATTAAACAGTCGGGAAACAACAGGTGCTGGAGAGGATGTGGAGAAATAGGAATGCTTTTACACTGTTTGTGGGAGTGTAAACTAGTTCAACCATTGTGGGAGTCAGTGTGGCAATTCCTCAAGTATCTAGAACTAGAAATACCATTTGACCCAGTGATCCCATTACTGGGTATATACCCAAAGCATTATAAATCATGCTGCTATAAAGACACATGCACAGGTATGTTTATTGCGGCACTATTCAACCCAAATGTCCATCAATGATAGACTGGATTAAGAAAATGTGGCATATGTACACCATGGAATACTATGCTGGCATAAAAAATGATGAGTTCATGTCCTTTGTAGTGACATGGATGAAGCTGGAAACCATCATTCTGAGCAAACCTTCGCAAGGACAGAGACCCAAACACCGTGTGTTCTCACTCATAGGTGGGAACTGAACAATGAGAACACTTGGACACAGAGTGGGTAACATCACATGCTGGGGCCTATTGTGGGGTGGGGGGATGGGGTAGGGATAGCATTAGGAGAAATACCTAATGTAGATAATGAGTTAATGGGTGCAGCAAACCAACATGGCACATGTATACATATGTAACAAACCTGCAAGTTGTGCACATGTGCCCTAGAACTTAAAGTGTTAAACAAAAATACACTTAAGAAATGTGCTCAGAACACTTACATTAGCCAGTCCAAAAAAAAATATCTAACATAAAGCCTATTTTTAAATAAAGTGTTGAATATCACATGTACATTATTAAATACTGAATGTGAAAAACGGAATGGGTATATGGGTAATAAAAGTATTGTTTCTACTGAATGTTTACCACTTTTGTACCATGATAAAGCTGTAAAGTTGTACCATTGTAAATCTGGGACCATCTGTGTTACATTCAAGAGAAAAGCTCAGTCGAACTAATAAATAAATCACAATTTCTTTTGATTATTTAGGTGTTTTTTCCTGTTAGATAATTAAGACATCCAATTATTGCTTGCTGCTTCACCACACAGACCATACACAGATACAAATACACACTCCATGAATGAGCATATGTGCTTGTTTAAAGAGACATACTAACCAAACAGTTGTATGCTGCCATGATATTGATTGTGTCGTGAAGTTCCTTATTTAACAAAACACAGCTGTGTATGAAGTATTTCTCTAAAATGTACATTCAATAGCAACTGGTTTTGTTCAGTCTTATGTACCCATATTATTTAAATGAGCACCTGGAGTCTAGAATTACTAAAAAATATCTATGTTGATGCATATTAAGTTGATTTTGAAGTCATAAATTTTGACAAGAATTGATACTATGGCACAATCATAACTTTACAAAAGATGACCTGAACTAACATTATTTTATGCTTTTGCCAGTGGACCTCCCTGAAATATATTCAGATAATTTGTTATTAAAGCAAAACTAAGTTTATCGAAACCCTGTGCCAAGAAAGTACACCATTTTGACATACTTTTGCAGTGTTTCAGCAGGGAACAGTGAGAGGAAGATTTTTCATGTTTGTGGAGAATGGCTTAAGAGAGTTAAATGAGTCTTTCAAGTGAGTAGCTGATTGAAATTGAGCTAAACTTAGAGCATAATAGTTTAGATAGTCTAAGAAATTGAAAAAAAAGTTGATGCCAAGCATACAAGAGATAACACCACCAAAAAATAGACCTAAATACAGACAAAATTAGATTAAAAACAAGAATATGTTCAATGTTAATAAAAGCAGAAGGAACATAGACATAGTTATGGAGGAGTTTTGTTTTGTTTTGTTTTAATAAGATAAAAATATGGTTAGTTTTATACCAATACACTTGGAAATCTGGATCAATTCTGTCCACTACAGTCATTACTAGTGACATGTAGATATTGAACACTTGAAATATGGTGAATTTGAATTGATTTATGCTATATGTAAGATACAAACTAGATTTAGTTTAAAAAATGTAAAACGGAATAATTTTAACATTGTTTTATGCTGAGATGACAATATTTTGGATATACTGGATTAAGTAAATATAAAATATTTTAAAAAATCAAGTTATATAGTAAAATTGGTCTTTTTGTTTTACTTTTTTATTTTGTTTTGGTTTCTGAAGGGATAGAAATCATGGCTAAGATGGACCCTGGGGCATATCATTGACCATCATGAAACATGCACTGATTTGCCAAATGTATTATTTTCCTGTGGCTGTTATAAAAATTACAATACACTTAGTAGTTTAAAACAACATAAATTTATTGTCTAGCAGTATTCCAGGTTAGAAGTTCAGCACAGGTCTTACTGATTTAAAATCAAAGCACTGGAAGACTGCATTCCTTCTATAGGCTCTGTGGAATAATCCATGACCCGGCCTTTCCCAGGCTTTAGAATCCAGCTGCATTCTCTGATGCATGTTCCCTGTCTTGGGCAGCTTGGAATACTGTAAGAAAATACCGTAGACCGGGTGACTTAAACAACAGACATTTATTTCTCAGAGTTCTGAAAGTTGGGAAGTCCAAGATTAAGGTGCTGGTATATTTGGTTCATGGGGAGGGCCCACTCCCTCTCTGGTTAGTAGATGGCCTCCTTCTCTCTCTGTTCACATGGCCTTTCCTGGATACATGTTTATGGAGAGAGAAAGAGAAGGGTGGTTGGGTGGGAGGTGGTCTCGTATCTCCACCTTTTCTTATAAGAACACTAACATTATCATGAGAACACCACACTTATGACATTATCTCAACCTAGGTTCCTCCCAAAAGCTCCATCTCCAGATACTATCACACTGCCAATTAATAGATTATTGAAAATAATCTATTAATATTTGAACAATGCCAATCATCTTCAATAGATTAATTTTAGGGAGACACGAATATTCGGTTCATAACAGTTCCTTTCCTTCACCTTCAAAGCTACAAATGAAGGAGCAAGTCTTCACATTCTCCTTTTATATCTCCCTCTTCTACATGTAAAGAATCTTATGATTGCATTTGGCCATCTAAAAATCTATGATAGTCTCTCCATTTCAAAATCCTTAACTCTAATTGCATTTGCAAACTCTGTCCTGCCAGGTAAGCTAACAAATTTATAAATTATCTGGATTAGGACCCCATCATCTCTGAAGAGCCATTATTCCGACTACCACATCAATATGTTAGTTTATGTCAAGATTGCTGTAATAATCAATAGGTTCTGGTACCACAAATCCAGTAGCAGTCATTAAGGTTGATTGAGTTTATTGATTGCTTTCAGCTCCATTCTGCTGTTAATCACTTTTGGGGATATAAAATGAAGACCTTATCACATAGAGGAAGAGGTAGATGTGATAGGAGCTTGAATATGTAATAAGAATTTTTTATGATATGTAAATGTGAGAAATGAATTAAGTATGTGCCATTTGTTCTCTTCTTTTTAAGACATTTCTTTCTAAAGGTTTAGTGACAGAAGTTGCATTCTATTAAAGATCCCTAAGTGCTGTTCTGCTGTAGGCATAAGCTTTGTTTCCTGGGTGCAGCATGTTAGGATTTAAGATTTCTATTTATCTAATACTCTGCTGTTTGTCAGATAAAATAACAATAAATAGTGAGTCCAATTATTGATAAACCCAGATGTTTCATATTTAGGAATCGATGTTAAGAAAAAAAAACTCTAATTGGCATCCTAAGGAAAATGTGTGCAGCTTAGCACTGATTCAACTGCATGTTTAGCCAAATTGTGAACAAATTACGGCCAGCTTCCGGACTCTTCTAGAGAGTGACTAAGGACGGCATAGAGGAATTAGGAATAGTAGCTTTATAGGTAAAGTAATTAAATGTAACCTTAAGCATAAAAAGATAAAAAAAAGTTAACTAGGAAAATGAAAACTCAAGATATACAGATTAAATATGACAAACAATGGATCTTTTTATGTGGATCTTGGTTTGCAGATACCGATATCTCATATAGTGATTCACTTGATCCAAAGGCATTTGATGGAAGCTGTCTTCTCCCAAAGACTATTTGCTTTTGGAAGAATCCTAAGAGTCATTAGTTAGAAGTTTTTGGTAGGGATACTTTCCTGTAACATGAAGATGACCTAAACCTCTTTACTTGAGAGATAGGAATCAAAGGATCAGTCTTTTAAAGACTGTGGGTTTGCTAGTTGTTAGCTGTGCCTGATATTGACTTTTTTCCTATGATCTTTCTCTGCCGTGTCTCTTACAAGACAAGGTATCCAGGTATGAAAACCAATTTTGCAGACATTGTTTAGGATACTAATGGGGAAAGTCTTCAGTAACTTTTGTTGAAAGAATGGATTTCCTGAGTCCTTACAGCATTTAGTTAAATAAGTGTAGATTTCTAGAATCAGAGCTAATATTCCTAGACACTTGGTTTAGCTGTTACTAACTCATGAACCGCAGAAAGAAGAAATACCTTAGACCATGCAAGTTGGACGATCTCTGTGAACTTTACCAACTTTAGTTTCAGAATTCCATCTTTCTACCTTCCCAAAAGGTTGAAAGTGATATGGACAGTGAAGTCTGATTAATTGGCAAAACTTTTCCATGTTAGTTAATAAAAATTCCAGTAAAATGGTTTCCTTGTTACTAGAGATATAGTTTGGGATTCCCCAGGCTGAAAAAAAAAAAAAAAGGATTTTCTCCATGCCAACAAGAGACAAATAGTGATCAGAACATATTTAAAATCTATTGCCAGCACTTGTTATGAAAAATTCATTTAGATTTTTACTGAGACATTTTACAGTTTTGCTAGGATTAATCTGACGAAGGTTGAGACAAGTTGTAAGGATATAGTTATATAAAGATATACTTACCAATTTTAGCAAAATTTTCCCCCAGCTATTGGTTAAATACATTGGTCAATTTGTCCTCATTGTGCCAGAAAAGCTCAGCAGTTTTGACTAAAGTTTATGTTAACCCATTGCCAGTAGAATGAAAGAGTTGAATCCTCTCTTAAATTATAATATATAGTTGACTCCTCAACAACACAGGTTTGAACTGTGCAGGTCTGCTCATATGTAGATTTTTTCCTATAAATATATTAGAAAATTTTTGGAGATTTATGAAAAATTGAAAAAGATAACAGGTGACCCATCTACACGAGAAATATTAAAAAACTAAGGAAATGATAAGTCATGAATGCATAAATTATATGTAGATACTAGTGATCATTTAATACAATGAAATATATATGCATCTATTATAAAAAGTTAAAATTTATCAAGATGTAGGCACACACAGAGCATACATGCAGCCAATTGAAGTTTAGAGAAAAGTAAAACAAAAATACACAAAAGTAAATCATAACTGCACAAAATTAACTGCAGTACATACTGTACTACTGGGATAATTTCCTAGCCTCCACCTGTTGTTCTTGCAGTGAACTCAAGTGTTGTGAGTATTCACTTAAAATGCCACATAATGCTAATCATCTTCTTGTGAGTAGCTTGTCTCTCCAGTAAATTAACACAGTAAAAAGTGATCTCTCATGTTTCTCCTGTATTATTCATGATGTCTAGTGCAATACCATAAACCTTGAATAACACCTTCAGACCTGTAGAAAGTGCTGCTAGTGATGCTGAAAGTTCTTCCAGGAAACAGAGAAGGGTCCTGACATTACAGGAAAAAAATGAATTGCTTGATAGGTACCCTAGGTTGAGGTCTGCAGCTGTGTGTGCCGCCATTTCAGAAGAAGGATCCATCTTGTAAACACAGGATTGTAAACTTATGAGAGAAATAAATATACTGTAGTACTGTAAACGTATTTTTTCTTCCCTATAATTTTCTTAATAACACTTTCTTTTCTGTAACTAGCTTCATTGTAAAACTACAGTGTAAAATACATACAGCATACGAAATATGTGTTAAGGATTGTCCAGTCAACAGTTAGGCTCTTAGTTTAGTTTTGGGGAGTCCAAAGTTATATGTGAGTTTTTGACTGTGCTGGGGTGGTGGGGAGGGGTTAGGGAGGTTTGATGCCCCTAAACCTTGTGTTGTTCAGGAGTCAACTGTACAATTTAGAAGAATATGATTTAGAATTTCCCTGAGATTAAGAACATATTAAATGGTGGGAAGGATATTGATAGACCTCTAGATCTAGTGACACTATCAACTTTGACTGTGTCTGTTTGATGAAGGAATTAAAATCTAGTAACAAAAGCATTTTGTAGATAGTTATCGTACCAGTCTTTGTTCTTGAACATCAGTGTGTTTTTATGAACTGAAAATCACACATTGAATGAAAGGCTTCATCTCAATATATTTTATTTACACATAAATTTGAGCTGTTTTTTGTTCACAAGTTTGGCCGATAAAAGAGCCCTCACAATAGCTTTAATTACCATTTAAAATAACAAATTAATGGGATTTTTAAATTTTTCTCTCTTTTGTAGGGTGAAGGAGCAATGCTTTTGGTTACTCAGTATTCTCTCAAGAAAATTTAAAGATAGTTTATACATAGAAGATATTTTAACAGGTTATATTCTGAACTTGTGGCACGGATTTGGAAAAAGCAATATCAAGTATGGTTCAAGGGGACAAGAAAGAGAGAAGCATTTGTTACCATTTTTCAAAGTCAAAAATATTTAATCAGATAATATTTTAAAAGCCAGCAATAATTAGTGATGATTGGTATAATGTTTTTGTCAAAATTATTAAATAGGAGATAAAATTAAAAGCTTTATTTTTTTGCATTCAAATAAAATTTTAAATATTTTGATGAGCATATTAAATCAACAATGCATGTATTACATTGAACCTGACTTCTTAATAAGTTGCAACCAAATCTTTAATGATAAATTTAGGTCAGAGAGAGAATTTTGAGATTTGTCACCATAAAGATAGGGTATAATGTGATGTAAATAATTAAGATCAGGTGGAAAGACAAATAAGATTGAAGGAAGACCCAAGACCAAGGTTTGGGGCACTCTCAGAATTTCTAAAAAAAAATTTAGACTATGAGTAAAGAAGGATTCATCAGCAAGGTGAAATGGATCAAGGAAATGTGGGCACTCAGAGGTACAGAGGGGTTAATTGCTGCCCAGAAAATACTCAGACGAATGCTGAACAATAAATTAGATAGAACAGATGTCCTAGAAATCATGAAGATAAGTCACTTTATTAAAATACATGTTATAAACAAAGAAGGAATTTACTGTTCGAAAAGTTGTCTTGAAGAATTGTTTTGGGAGAAAATAAAAAATAAACCTTATTTTCTAAAATACACTAAAACTAATTCCAAATGAATCAAAGGATTGTGTACAGATATTTTAAATTAATAAAACAATGTTAGTGCAGATTCTCTTTAATTACTTCCCTGATTGTTTTACCTATAGTAACTCATTTAATTCTACTAGCAATCTTTTCATGTTGGATACAGCTATTCAAATTTTCTTTTGTTATTGCAATAGCCTCCTAACCATTCTTCCACAAAATTGGGGCACTAAAAGGTTGTGAAATTTCCTCTATGCCACAGAGCTATTTAGTGATGATTTGGCATTTGGAAGCACATAATCTGTCTTTGAAATGTTCATTTTTCTCTGATGGCCAGTGATGGTGAGCATTTCTTCATGTGTTTTTTGGCTGCATAAATATCTTCTTTTGAGAAGTGTCTGTTCATGTCCTTCACCCACTTTTTGATGGGGTTGTTTGTTTTTTTCTTGTAAATTTGTTTGAGTTCAGTGTAGATTCTGGATATTAGCCCTTTGTCAGATGAGTAGATTGCGAAAATTTTCTCCCATTTTGTAGGCTGCCTGTTCACTCTGATGGTAGTTTCTTTTGCTGTGCAGAAGCTCTTCAGTTTAATTAGATCCCATTTGTCAATTTTGGCTTTTGTTGCCATTGCTTTTGGTGTTTTAGACATGAAGTCCTTGCCCACGCCTATGTCCTGAATGGTAATGCCTCGGTTTTCTTCTAGGGTTTTTATGGTTTTAGGTCTAATGTTTAAGTCTTTAATCCATCTTGGATTAATTTTTGTATAAGGTGTAAGGAAGGGATCCAGTTTCAGCTTTCTCCATATGGCTAGCCAGTTTTCCCAGCACCATTTATTAAATAGGGAATCCTTTCCCCATTGCTTATTTTTCTCAGGTTTGTCAAAGATGAGATAGTTGTAGATATGCGGCGTTATTTCTGAGGGCTCTGTTCTGTTCCATTGATATATATCTCTGTTTTGGTACCAGTACCATGCTGTCTTGGTTACCGTAGCCTTGTAGTATAGTTTGAAGTCAGGTAGCGTATTGCCTCCAGCTTTGTTCTTTTGGCTTAGGATTGACTTGGCGATGCGGGCTCTCTTTTGGTTCCATACGAACTTTAAAGTAGTTATTTCCAATTCTGTGAAGAAAGTCATTGGTAGCTTGATGGGGATGGCATTGAATCTGTAAATTACCTTGGGCAGTATGGCCATTTTCACGATATTGATTCTTCCTACCCATGAGCATAGAATGTTCTTCTATTTCTTTGTATCCTCTTTTATTTCATTGAGCAGTGGTTTGTAGTTCTTCTTGAAGAGGTCCTTCCCATCCCTTTTAAGTTGGATTCCTAGGTATTTTATTCTCTTTGAAGCAATTGTGAATGGGAGTTCACTCATGATTTGGCTTTCTGTTTGTCTGTTATTGGTGTATAAGAATGCTTGTGATTTTTGTACGTTGATTTTGTATCCTGAGACTTTGCTGAAGTTGCTTATCAGCTTAAGGAGATTTTGGGCTGAGACAGTGGGGTTTTCTAGATATACAATCATGTCATCTGCAAACAGGGACAATTTGACTTCCTCTTTTCCTAATTGAATACCCTTTCTTTCCTTCTCCTGCCTAATTGCCCTGGCCAGAACTTCCAACACTATGTTGAATAGGAGTGGTGAGAGAGGACAAATCAAAACCACAATGAGATACCATCTCACACCAGTTGGAATGGCAATCATTAAAAAGTCAGGAAACAACAGGTGCTGGAGAGGATGTGGAGAAATAGGAACACTTTTACACTGTTGGTGGGACTGTAAACTAGTTCGACCATTGTGGAAGTCAGTGTGGCGATTCCTCAGGGATCTAGAACTAGAAATACCGTTTGACCCAGCCATCCCATTACTGGGTATATACCCAAAGGACTATAAATCGTGATGCTATAAAGACACATGCACACGTATGTTTATTGCGGCACTATTCACAATAGCAAAGCCTTGGAACCAACCCAAATGTCCAACAATGATAGACTGGATTAAGAAAATGTGGCACATATACACCATGGAATACTATGCAGCCATAAAAAATGATGAGTTCATGTCCTTTGTAGGGACATGGATGAAACTGGAAATCATCATTCTCAGTAAACTATCGCAAGGACAAAAAACCTAGGACCGCATGTTCTCACTCATAGGTGGGAATTGAACAATGAGAACACATGGACACAGGAAGGGGAACACCACACGCTGGGGACTGTTGTGGGGTGGGGGGAGGGGGGGGGAGGGATAGCATTAGGAGATATATCTAATGCTAAATGAGGAGTTAATGGGTGCAGCACACCAGCATGGCACATGTATACATATGTAACTAACCTGCACATTGTGCACATGTACCCTAAAACTTGAAGTATAATAATAATAAAATTAAATTAAAAAAAAAGAAATGTTCATTTTTAATTATAGCACTACACCATGCACTGAATCACTGAGGGTAAAAATGCACACTGTTAAGAAGGAGGGAGTCAATCTCATTAGTATTATAATATTTATACTGAATGAGACTCCATTCCCCAAATTTACAGAATTAAAATAATAAAAATAAAAATTTATTGCTAGCCAATTTGCAGCAAAATAGATTCATTCTCATATTCTGCTATGAGAAAATAAATGAAATTAAATTTTAAAAGACATTTTTGGAAAGCCCTTTGAATTAACCAGAAAATTGTTAAATTCGTAGTTTTTTTGACTAACATTCTTCTTCCACGTTAACAGAATTTATATGTAAATGACACTCATTGCATATACTTTTAAGGGGTAAAATAATTACTAAATTTATGTACACTATGAATACTTCATTTTATAAAATTGCATATATACCCACATGCAAATGTGCACAGAATCAATAGGGTAACCATAGACATAAAATGATCAGTGCAGGATATTTTATTTTATTTATGCATTTTATATATAATATACTTTTCATTTAATATTTTTGCTAATTTTATTGAATTGAATATTTATGCCTTGGTTATAGAACAACTAAATTTATTTTCAAAGAAACTCCATTATTATTGTCTGCGAGAGTAAAACTTATAAACAATCTAAAAATTCAACCAAATACAACCATTTACAATTGTGCCCTAGTTGAACATGTAATCATAGGAGAAAACACAGGTGTTGAATTTTTAGAAGTTCATTTAAAAAATAATTGACACAATCCCTAAGGTATCATATAAATTAATTGAATTGTTACTGTCTTGGGCTAACATTTATTTCTAGAGTTTTTTTTCCCCTAATATCTGATTTTTTCCATTAACATTACTTATTTGGATAATCAGAAAAAAATCAGCATTGCCAAAAGATAGATAATACCACAAGCGAAATATCTATAATAATGATAGGAAAATGCTTTGATTCAGGCTGAATGAGAATTAGTCTAGGAAAACAGCTTGGACCCTCTCATTCCTGTTAATGTCATCTCTGTGTTTAGCACTGCTGCTATTCCTCAGCCCCTAAGAAATGCTCTATTGCTGGGCATGGCATATGGGAAGCCAAGAAAAATGACTGGCTGCTTGGTGGCAGCTCTCTAGTCCTCATGCCAAGTTCTGCCAGTGATTTAAATATTAAGTGATGGAAAGAATTTTGAAATCCAGGATGATTAGAAAAGTCATTTTCTACAAAACTGAAGCATTGTCTTTAGAGACTAAAATCTATGAAAATAACATTATTGAAATACTAGACTTGAGACTATTTTTCTGAATTATTGTAACTGTTGAAATAGGTCTTTCAGCCCATTAAGATAAACACCACACTTTTCTCGTCATGATCTTCAGCTGTAATTTTATAGTGAAAGGTACTTGCATAAAAGAGTTCACACTATCTGAAAGATGTCACATGTAACATTGACTGGCAGCCATTTCAGAATGGCAGACAGCCAATAAATCATTCAGAACTATGTGTCACTCGTTGTGGCTTTAAAATTGTATTCCTTCTCCTTTGATAAAGAACATTTCAATGTCAAATAGTTTGTTCTATTTAAACTTATACATCAACCAGAATATTGAGATACACAATAAAATTAAATGATTTGGTAATACCTTTAGAATTTATCTAAAAACAGCCGTATGTATTTGCATGACAGATTTGGTTCACAAACCAATCAAGTTGTTAGTATCAAAGGCATGTTTTAGTGCTGATTTATGTATAGATAAATTTAGGAAATTACATAAATAGAAATACTTCTTTATAAAATTCCTTGACCTTGTGATATCTTGGTATTAAGAAACTTAAAGGAATCATTTTAAAAAATTCAAAAGCAAACAATTTCGATTTTACAAGAGCTAAGAAAAAAACATTTTGCGATGGACACAGATCGCTCTTCAAGAAAAGATTTGTTTCCCCCTTGGCTGCTAGGAGCAATATTACAAAGCAGCCTTCAGCTCTCAGCTCCTTCAAAGTTTGCCTCAGCTGTAACCATTGTCTGGCTCAATGTTAGGTCATCCTGGAGCACTGGACATGCAAACATGAATGGAGATGAGGTATAAAGCCCGGCCATTTTGACGCACCTGAGAGGATTCTGACAGGTCCTTCCAGTGCCTGAGAAACCCAGGGCTCACATGCTTTATATTCTGATCATTCTGTAGGGGTTGTTCCCATGGGTGATAGAAGCTGCCAAATATAAAGAGGCAGCCATGCAAATTTTTAGGAATTATTTCCAAAACTCTCATAACAACATCATATATATTTATTGGTTGTTTAAGTAGATTTCTGAGGAGTAGATAGCAACGATAGAAGTGAAAGAAAGTAAATGCAGTTGTTAAAGGATTAGTCTTCCCATACTTAGAAAGTACACAAGTTGCATATACACTATGTTCCTTCCCTAGAGCAAGTATTTCAATGCAGTCGTGTGTGTGTGTTTGTGTGCTTGTGTGTGTGGTGTGTGTGTGTGTGTGTGTGTGTGTATGTATGCTAACTGAACTCATTGTAGATTTTATTGGATCAGATATATGAAGAGACTTGGAAGACTTGGGTTTGTCTGGAACTGGGTGAAATAGAGAAGGACGATCATTGACATAGAAAGCTCATTACTTTGACCTTTGATTATAAATAGTCTTACAATAAAATGGCATCTCCACTGTCTAAAACACATTTTTACATTTGCTCTCCTTCTGAAATTATTTATGTGAAATTAACAAATCTACTTATTACCTTAGAAACAAACGATCCCTAATTTATATTATTTATTGTATATTTGTAGATCCACTTAAAATTGATTTGCAATATAAGGAAAAAATGCATTTTATAAGTTGTTTGCTTTGTGTAGTGGATCTTGTTAACCGTAGGACTACTGTTGCATTGAAACAAAATAGAATTAATCTGTTCAGGTAAAGAGAACTGGAAGTGAGATTTGTTGTCACTCCTTCTCCTTCAAGTACTGACCAGTCTTTTAATTCACACATAACTAACACTCTGTGCAATAATATTTTTTTGTTCTCTGTCTTTTCAAATAGAACTCAAGCTCCATGAGGAGATGTTTCATTGTCAGTGAGCACATTCTTGTCAATTAGTTCCTTCTTGTTTATTAGTATAGCCCCTGTGTCTAGAACCTTTCCAGGTATTCAGTAGCCATTTAAAAATTATTTGTTGAATGAATTGTTATTTTAAAGAACATCCACAAGTTTTGCCTGACTGGGCATGGGAATACATGCCCATCTTTGGACTGAATGTCCATTTTTCCCTTCTTTTATCAAAATATTGGTTAAATGATCAGGACCACTGTTAGAAGGAATTTTATCTCTAAAAATAGTTTACCTTCTATGGATGTAAAAAAATAGTTGTAGTAGTACTGGCTTTTATATTATTCGATGTTTCAAAGCGGTTTTTTTTTCCATCACAATATTCTACGTTCTTGAAAAGTACTCGTTCATGTGACTGCTATCATTTATGCTTGTGCAGCACGTAGATACAGGAGAGAAGATAAGGAAAATGCTTACCCTGTGTCTCCTTCCCTGTAACACAGTTTTTTTTACCATATTGATTCTCCACTTTCTGCTCCCTAAGTAAAATTTTGCAACAGGCGTTTGGGAAACTCTGGATATAAGAAAAAAATTTTAATATTGTACAAAGAGACAAGAGGTGACTTCTTTTTTATTTTTCATTTAGAGTTTATAGTTTAATTAAAGAAAATGCACATATATCTAAAGATAATCATGGATAATACACTCATATAATTACTACTTTCAGCGGTTATAACAACAGCCAAAGCACAAACAGAAATGAGAAAGGATTATCAGCATTATGCAAATACATATCCTCTTTAAGAATTCCTGTTATAGTGAAAGCATTAAAATAATTGAACACGTACAGAGACCATATACTTTGTGATCTTTTTAAAAAAGTATTCAAAATATATTTCTGTGTGCAAAACATTTTCATAATGATCTTGTTTAAATGAAAGTATTTAGAATAGCACATTGTAAAATTATGCGGCAGAGCACAAGTATTTTTCTCTTTAGAAGACACATAATAAAATAGAATCATCAGTGTTTTTTCATAAACATGAATCTTGAGAGTGCTACTTGATCCTGCATAATAAGGGTACTGTTTTGCTTAATGTAAGCATAGTATACTAATTCTTTTAAAATTCAGAAAGCATATTTACAGTCTAGGCAGATGGGACATGAAGGTCACACAGCATGAGCAGTGAAATATCTCATTTACCTAGAGTTCTGGAGAGAATTTTAGGAACTCTTATTTATTATCAGTGCATAAATAAGAGTAAACTGTACAAAACTGTTTGCAAAACTCTCCTCTTTCTACTCAGAAGGCTTTCCCTAGAATAATCATTATGGACTCTGTCCATCCTTTACTCATGCACTGCATGGGGACAGGTGTTAGTTATGAGATTGGTGAATTTAGAAAGCTAACCAATTTCATACCTATTTTGCGATTCTCAATTCACAAACTTTTGTGCGTTTCTTAATTATTTCCTTTCTTTTTCTTGTAGAGAGCAGTCATGATGGCCTGCACTCCACACAATGCAACAGAGTGAAGGAGCAGGTTCTGGTTCTTTGGTGTAGTCCTGAAGCTTCCTAAGAAAGTTCACATCAGGTGATGGATAGGAGCAACCCTGTAAAACCAGCCTTAGACTATTTTTCAAACAGTAAGTAATAAAGGTGACATTTTGATCTTTATCTGCTTACTTACTTCTGCTATGATTCTATTGATTCTAACATTGAAGGAGCAGTAAATTTATATGTATTATCAAACTATAAAACAATAAATAAACGATATATCAAATACATTATCACATCCTTATGTTCTTATGATAATATTGTCCTTTTTTAACAGTTTTTATTCTTATTTGTTGATTGGTTTGTCTTTATGTTGTCCTTTCTACTATCAAACTGAACATGTTGAGGTCATAGGCTATCAAAACTGTACATTTCTGATGCTAACCATAGAGACTTAACAACAACAGTAAACAGGCCAAAATGGAATGTTGTTAGCCATAGTGTGTATTATTATTTCTTTTATACATTTGGTCACTGTTAGAGGAGTTTATCACTTTTTGCCTAGATTAATGACACACAAACCATCTACAAACGAATCATACCTTATTCCCTCACTGTAATTTTTAATGTTGCTATTTTTGCCTGTTAACATTCCATAGGTTTATCACATTGCTTAAAGATTTAATTTAATTTCTGTATTGTATATGTCATGAGAGATTGCTTTTAACCTTCCAGTGTTCATGGTCTCATTTTCACTAACATAATCCCAACTTTAGCTGCGCACAATACCACATTTCCCAGCATTCCTTGCATCTGGATGTAGCTGTATTAAAATAAGCCGTGGGAAACTTCTGAGATGGCTCCTTAAGTGCAGTTGACTCATTAGGGAGGTATGTCTTTTTTATTTTTCTACACTTTCTGCTGCTGTCCTGGAGTACAGACATGGTGGCTAGAAGCATGAAATCACCTTGAAGATAGAAGTCATGCATTGAAGTTAGTAAAAGAGAAATGGAAGTGTATAGGTTCTTGATGAAAATGGGAAGCTTATGTACTAGCAACAGAATGCTTATTATGCAGGCTTCCTATATGTAAAAGAGGACAAATTCTCATTTTAATTAAGTTTCTGAAGGTAGATTTCTAAATGCTGGTTCTATTTTTTATGGAAAGTAATGGCAAAAAACGCAATGCGTTTTGTACCAACCTAATAGTTAATAAACATATCCTCAAATGAAATGTCTTAGAATTGTATTCATCAAGTTAATATTAATAATTTATTAGAATAGCACTCTAAAAGGTTGCAGCCTGTGCATGAAAACACTTACAAACTGCTACATGATAATCAATTCTTTTTGGCAAGACTGCTATTTACATGGACACAAGAGTTATTATAAGAATGTTGTATGTATACATGAATAGTGTCTGTTAAACACTGGAGATAATAAAAACAATAATTTTTCTGTTAACTATAAAAATCTGAACATTTTTGTGATTATATTTCACAAATGACACACCATTTTATTTGCAGATTTTTCTTATCTCCAAAGTTTTTGTTAATTTATTACCAACACAGCACACAATTCTAGTGGCAATGCATTACCTCTGCAGTTGATTTTGAAGTAAGAAGGCCTATTTATTGCATTCATTCCTGCTTAGATGGCATCTTAAATTCGTTAATTGGATTATTATGCTCTATTCTATACATTTATTGATTTATAGATTTTGTGGACAGAAATTTCAAAACATATTAGAAAATTTAGTGATAGCTTTTTAGAATCTATTCTTCAACATAGTTATTGAAAGTGAACAAGGAGGACCTCCTCTAGAGATTAGGTTGAGAACCACTTGTTTGATTTGTTAAATATGTGTACATGGATACCATGTGGCTTTATTATGAGGAGCCACTTAAGTGGCTGAGTTACAATTCACAAAACGTTGTCACAGGGAAAATATCAGGACAAATTTTCAAGTCGCATGCCAAGAAAAAAAAATCTTTCTAAATGCTTATAAGAAATACCTTAATTAATGGGAGCCCTTCAAAGTACGCAAAACATCATAACTAGGAGTTGCAACACAACCAGCAATTTGCTGATTGAAATGCATTCATTCATACTGACTTCACCTGCTGAATGGAATATTGTGCTGTACTGTCCTTAGCTATGGAGAATTAAGGAATATCCCCTTCTGGTGTTCAACAACAACGAAAGAGCAAGAAAGATATATTCCTAATTTTTAAAGAAGAATGTAGAGATACTTAAACAAGACAATGAAGGTGGTAGAAAGATTATTACCATCCCCAAAGTGTTTGCTCCTTAAAACATTTTGTGATTTTCTCTGCCAATATCATACCTGTATGGATAATTGTTTTACTATCCACACAGTTATGAGAGTGAGAAGATGGAATCTAAAAGATGGAACAAGAGGGAATCTGTGTGGTGACCACAGTAATCACAGGCTGGTTGGGATCCTAAACTCGGCCACAGCACAAAAGCATGTTCAAGTTTAAAGTCATGAGAGAGGCCTGGCATAGTGGCTCACACCTATAATCCCTGCACTTTGGGAGGCCAAGGTGGGAGGATTGCTTGGGGCAAAGAGCTCAAGATCAGCCTGGGCAACACAGTGAGATCCCATCTAAAAAAATGTTCTTTAAGTTAGCCTTATGTGGTGGCATGTTCCTGTGGTATCAGCTACTCAGGTGGCTGAAGTGGGAGGGTCACTTGAGCCTGGAGGTTGAGCCATAATCATGCCACTGCACTCCAGCCTTGGTGACAGAGTAAGACTCTGTCTCCAAAAGTAAAACACAAAACAACACAAAAAGTCAAGTCACAATAAAATGAGATGCTGTTAAGGTTGTTTTCTGTTGATTTTCAACTAGACCAGCATTTAGCCTGTACAAAGGCATATACAAAATAACCCTAAACCTAAATGGGATTCAGCAGCAGCAGTGTGGGTTAAAGAAGCCACCAGTTCCCTGGAGGCCAGAACCACAGGCCTGTGGCCTTTTTTATTGTTTTGACAGGGAGGTGGAAAGCAGGAGTATAACTACATTCAAGTGTCTGCTCTGTTGCTGTATGAGAAAATCCGTGCTGTAGCACATCAGAGTTTTTCCAAAGTTTATTTCTTAGGACATCTTTGGGGTTTATGTAAGTATTTAATAGAGCTCCCCTAGCCCAGGCTTACACAGGACATATGTCTAGTGGCATAGGTCTGTATGCTTAAATTATAGCAGAAAGTTTGCTAAAATTTAAGTGAAGTAATGTTGAAGGTTGAATCGTTTGAAACAAACTACCTGCACCAAAATATTCTTTACTGTACTGATTTCTATCCCACCCCTAATGAGGCTGAATTTTAATCTTAACTCTGCTTGTAATTAGGTATTTATATGTGTCTGTTATTCATTTTTTAACAAGATGTCTCTTCGGAGATAAAATGAGGGTAGCAAAAAATAATTTTCATAGACATTTATATGGCTTTGATAACAATTGTCTGTTCTACTTATTTGACTGATGCTAAACTCTAAAGGTTAATTTACAGTTAGTAAATTACATAATTTTTATGCAACAATTTGCCTGCCAGGATTCCTATAATACTTGTCAGCTATCAGTAGGTATAAGCCTGTTAGCCTCTAATGTGAAGATAATATCTCTTTAAGTTATAATGCATTTACAATTGTTACAGTTTCTAAGGTCTTTTTAAGTTAGAGATGCATCTGAGGATGATGGTTTTCAAGGAGATAGCTCTTTGACAAAAAATGACAATATGGGACTTAGTGTTATATTAATTTACACATTATGTTTTTGCTATAAAGAGATAAAAGGTGTGCTCTACTACCTATAAATTACTGTATGCCACATTTTGTAGAATGGTTTTCCATATTATTGTAGAATGTGGCACTTAAATAGTATCATGAAAAAAGTTTATTCAAGAAATAAGACATTAATGAAATATAATTAATATATAAAGACTATATTTAAAAATAATTATGTATTTCTAATCCTAAACTTTTTAAGGTGACATTATTTTTTTCTGTGATATAATTTCAGTTTAGAAGAACTTTAAATTTTAATAAGATTTTAAGATGATTCAGTAATGTTAACATACTTTTCTTCTGTAAATTTTGTTTGTTAACAATTTAGCTGCATTAATTAAATATGTATATAGCTAATTTTAATACTGATATTTTAATACAATTCTTAATTTTACTCCTGGCTTTCAATCATTCATATATGTTTTTAAAAATTGCTTTTTCCATTGCTTTACTTCTTAATTACTTTTATCAAAGTCTTAATTGTATGTGGTTGATTTTAAAAGTTAAATATTTCTATAAGATTTATAAAGACAAACTGGGTACAGTGACTCACACCTTTGGGAGGCCGAGGGGGGAGATCACTTGAGGTCAGGAGTTCGAGACCAGCCTGGCCAACATGGTGAAAGCAGTTTCTACTAAAAATACAAAGATATGCCTGGTGTGGTGGTTGGCCCCTGTAATTCCAGCCACTTGGGAGGCTGAGGCAGGAGAATTGCTTGAACCTTGGAAGCGGAGGTTGCAGTGAGCTGAAACCATGCCATTGCACTCCAGCCTGGGCAGCAAGAGCGAAACTCCATCACAAAAAAAATATATATATATACACATATATATATGTATATATATATACACACACACACACACACACACACACACACATATATATGTGTATATATATGTATGTATATGTGTGTGTATATATATACACACACTATATATATATGTGTGTGTGTGTATATATATATACACACACACACATATATATATACACACACACAATAGAAATGTCCTGGCTATATCTATATTAATAGGTTTTGCACATTTAAACCAAAGTCACACATATGGTTTGATTCTAATTAATTCTAATGCATCTTGCAGGTTACAGACTGTATTCTATTATGTAATTATCTGCTGATCCACTCTGTATCCTGTTGTGTAAGTTGCGATGATTAACCTCTGCCTTTATGATGTAATCCAAATGTAGCATATAGACCTCAATGATAAGATTGATCATGGTGCATTTAATCATTAATTTATTATTAATCTCTTTTATCCTGGTACTTAGAGTGCAGATTTTTCTCAACAAATATTTACATGATCATTAAATAAAATATAGCCTTGTGTCACTTAGCAATGAGGATATGTTCTGAGAAGTGTGTGGTTAGGTGATTTTCTTACTGTGCAAACTTCATAGAGTGATCAATCTATAATGGTGATAGAAATTTTTGAACCCTATTATAATCTTAATGAGCCATTGTTTTACATGCTGTCTCTTATTGATGTAAACGTTGTTATGTGGCACATGATTATATAAAAGATATTAATCCATTCATTATTTATGCATTCATCCATTTGACCTATGGTAGTGTTCTATTGAAAATGAGTCATCGTGATATAGAAATCCACTCGTAGTTGTTTTTACTTTCTCTGTTTCGTGGGGAAGAGTGGGTATTGATTTTAAAAGTCTAAAGAATGGGGTATTGTGAATAGTGCCGCAATAAACATACGTGTGCATGTGTCTTTATAGCAGCATGATTTATAATCCTTTGGGTATATACCCAATAATGGGATGGCTGGGTCAAATGGTATTTCTAGTTGTAGATCCCTGAGGAATCGCCACACTGACTTTGACAATGGTTGAACTAGTTTACAGTCCCACCAACAGTATAAAAGTGTTCCTATTTCTCCACATCCTCTCCAGCACCTGTTGTTTCCTGACTTTTTAATGATTGCCATTGTAACTGGTGTGAGATGGTATCTCATTGTGGTTTTGATTTGCATTTCTCTGATGGCCAGTGATGGTGAGCATTTTTTCATGTGTTTTTTGGCTGCATAAATGTCTTCTTTTGGGAAGTGTCTGTTCATGTCCTTCGCCCACTTTTTGATGGGGTTGTTTGTTTTTTTCTTGTAAATTTGTTTGAGTTCATTGTAGATTCTGGATATTAGCCCTTTGTCAGATGAGTAGGTTGCGAAAATTTTCTCCCATTCTGTAGGTTGCCTGTTCACTGTGATGGTAGTTTCTTTTGCTGTGCAGAAGCTCTTTAGTTTAATTAGATCCCATTTGTCAATTTTGGCTTTTGTTGCCATTGCTTTTGGTGTTTTAGACATGAAGTCCTTGCCCATGCCTATGTCCTGAATGGTACTGCCTAGGTTTTCTTCTAGGGTTTTTATGGTTTTAGGTCTAACGTTTAAGTCTTTAATCCATCTTGGATTAATTTTTGTATAAGGTGTAAGGAAGGGATCCAGTTTCAGCTTTCTCCATATGGCTAGCCAGTTTTCCCAGCACCATTTATTAAATAGGGAATCCTTTCCCCATTGCTTATTTTTCTCAGGTTTGTCAAAGATGAGATAGTTGTAGATATGCGGCGTTATTTCTGAGGGCTCTGTTCTGTTCCATTGATCTATATCTCTGTTTTGGTACCAGTACCGTGCTGTTTTGGTTACTGTAGCCTTGTAGTATAGTTTGAAGTCAGGTAGCATGATGCCTCCAGCTCTGTTCTTTTGGCTTAGGATTGACTTGGCGATGCGGGCTCTTTTTTGGTTCCATACGAACTTTAAAGTAGTTATTTCCAATTCTGTGAAGAAAGTCATTGGTAGCTTGATGGGGATGGCATTGAATCTATAAATTACCTTGGGCAGCAAAGACTTGGAACCAATCCAGATGTCCAATAGTGATAGACTGGATTAAGAAAATGTGGCACATATACACCATGGAATACTATGCAGCCATAAAAAATGATGAGTTCATGTCCTTTGTAGGGACATGGATGAAATTGGAAATCATCATTCTCAGTAAACTATCAGAAGGACAAAAAACCAAACACCGGATGTTCTCACTCATAGGTGGGAATTGAACAGTGAGAACACATGGACACAGGAAGGGGAACATCACACTCTGGGGACTGTTATGGGGTCGGGGGAGGGGGAAGGGATAGCATTAGGAGATATACCTAATGCTAAATGAGGAGTTAATGGGTGCAGCACACCAGCATGGCACATGTATACATATGTAACTAACCTGTACATTGTGCACATGTACCCTAAAACTTAAAGTATAAAAAAAAAAGGGGGTATACACACAATCAGGTATCAAGCAGTGGCACCTCGTGCAAAATAATAAACTCATCTAAGATCCTAGCAGTTCATTCAGAAAATAAAGCTGGAAATATATCTTGGATATGTAAAATGTGATTGTAAAAATTAATGAAACTAAGCAATGGGAATATGAGTAGTAAATTATTTGAGAAAATATTATAACATTTACTTTTTTAAATTTCAAAACTATATTTCCTTATTTAAAACTGAAAATTTTTGTGTACATATATGAAACTAATTGTGTCCTTTTTTGTTTTGTTACAATATAGAGTGATGTTTCAAAACACAAACATAATAGGTAGAGTCAATGATTTAGGGGAGTTTAAACCTGGTGGTAACATTAGAAATAGAAATAATAAAATGCAGTGTTTTTGGATTTGTCTGTTAAGATTATTTTAATCCAAATCATATTTAATGGTTTACATAGTTGTATATCGAATTTGGTTTCACAAATAAATTATATAGTAAATTTTAAAAAATGCAAAAAATGTATATTAAGTTATACATTCTATAACCTATGAATCCATATAACTTGGGCAAGAAAATTATATAATTAAAAATAAAACCTTTCTGTTCTGAATTATGTTTTAGGGACAGCTATGTAGTTCACACTCACAAAGGAATCATAAAAACTCTATGTATAATCTTGGAAGTAAAAATATCTGTTGTATCATATTTATGAAGTATACAATTGATTAAAAATGATAATGTCTGTCTTCTATCCAATGGCAATAACAGAAGATAATGGCATATAAGTAGACCTGTCTCCTTTTTTTTGGCATTGATTTATATATCTTTACTAGCTTTGTTGTTTTAACTCCAATAAAAGATTATTTAGTAAGCCAAAGCAAAAAAAAAAAAATCCTGTGAGCAGCCACAAACTGAAAGACTACGATTTTCAGTCAATGTCCTAAGCAGCGCAGTAATTTTAGGTTAACCAATGTGTCAAAGAGAATGAGGAAAAATTATTACAAAAATGAATAAATAAATAAACTGGTCTAGGTCAAACCGTACTCCTTCTAAAGAGAGTAGTCAACTGATATTAAAGCCTATGACGTAGAATGTGCCATATTGAGTATGCAATATCAAAATATTTCTTCTTTTTCTTTCTCCAGCTACTGCAAACCCTAATTATTTCCTTATCTGATCACTTTAAAGTCATTCAACAAATCATAATTGTGCCATTGTTAACATCAGAAACTGAAAACCTACTGTCAAAAGTGAGCTAAAATATCACTATTTGGATTTATTTATAAATGTAATTTATTTTATAAAAAGATTGACTTTCAATTTGAGAATAACATAAAAAATCAATTCATTCCTCTGTGCATCAATATTGTATCATTGGTAGTTTAAACTTTTCATCTACTATTAGATTGCATGCAGGACTTTATATCTAATTACTCTGGCAGATGTCCTTTAGAAAATTCAAAAATAAAATGCAGCAATTCATATTGGCAGATTTACTATTGAGACCAATGCTTTCTTAACTAAAAGGTTTTGTTTAAAATCGTTAGTTTAGCAAATCTGATAAGGATTTTTGAATATCAGAGCATTTAAAAGAGATTCTTACTTTACATCTGGCATATTTCTTGTATTACATATTATAATTTCATTGAACATGGCTGTCTATAAAACTATATATATGATCCGGAAGAGACTCAAACTAAATTAAGTTTTAACAGCCATCAGTTTATTTTAAAATGACACAGGCATGAAAAATGATCTGTCAAGGTTTGTAAATCTTATTCTGTTAGCTATTGCTAGAGATAGTCTAAAGATATTCTACTTGGAATTTGAGATCAAGACAAAGATTTTCTATTAGTAATAATATTCAGATTATTTTTATTTTAATGTATAAATTTAAAATTCTTAGAATATTTTCAACAATATTTTCCATTTCTAAATTTATTTTATTTCTAAACAAATGTAATTACTTTATTTATTAACTTTTATTTTCAGTTCAGGGGTATATGTGCAGGTTTGTTATATAGGTTAAACCTATAGGTAAATAGGTATACAGGTTATTTTGTCACCCAGGCATTAAGCCTATGCGCATTAGTGAAAAATGTTATTGCTTTAAATATCCAAATTATTCAGCTGCATTTGATCTCATTCTTTAGTCCAATGTAAATAAGAGTAAAACAATGACATTTAAGGCCACCAGGCTATTCTCATTTTCGGAAAAATGCTGGATTACATTACCAGCATATTAAATGAGAATATCAAGGTGTAATATCTCCCTAGAAATTGTCTCACCTTCAATACTGTTGACATTTTTGGACCTGATAATTTTGTTGTGGGCTCTAGCCTCGTATTATAGGAGGTTTACCGGTTTTCCTGCCCTAAACTTACCGGATGTGAATAGCACACTCCACTACCTACAGCAGTAAAAACTAAAATGTCTCTAAACATTGACAAATTGTCCCTGGTAGTGAAAATCACCCCTGGTTGAGACCGTGTTGTTGAAAATAAAACAAAAACTTTCACATCAATAAATATGTTAGGCTGTGTATGTTAAGGATTAACATTAAGACAATATGGAGCAAGCACTACATGAAAGCCGTGACGATTGGGAATTAGTGGCACATTATCCTAATAGTTAATATAGTGACTGTAATATCTAAATATCATCATATAGAGTTTTTCTTAGATTTTTTCATGAGTATAACTTAGGATGTTGTGTATGTTAGTTACACTGTATATACTGTTATTTTGAGAGACAATTTTGGGAGATTTTGCCAAGGTATTTTCAATTATAGGTCTTTAATACATTCTAAGCAAGTGGGTCTCAAAAATGGGAATTTTACACCCCACATTCTTCTTACCATCTGGTGGACATTTGTCAATGTGTACAGATATTTCTGATTAAAAAAAAAAAACTGTGAAAGAGAGGGTGTGCTACTGGCATCTGGTGGTCGAGGCTAGGGATGTTGCTAATCATCTTACAATATACACGATAGTTCCCCACAATGACTTTGAGAAACCCTGCTCTGACACTACTGCAGGATGAATTTTAAGCACAATTATAAGAGAGGACCTAGATATTGAGTTTTAAAAGGAGAAAATATAAGTACAAAAGAAGAATGAAGATTGTTATAACGGGCAAGTAGAAGTTAGAAGAAAATGTGATAAAGTAAATCTACATTTTAGAATAGTACTGGAAGTTATTATCAGGTGTTACAGACAAGTTTGAGACTTCCGTAAGTGACCTAAAGAAATTATGGACACTGCAAGACTAAATAATCATTCATTTAGGAAGGAGCTTAAAAGCACTTTCTCAAGGCCGGGCGAGGTGGCTCACGCCTGTAATCCCAGCACTTTGGGAGGCCAAGGTGGGCAGATCACGAGGTCAGGTGATCGAGACCATCGTGGGTAACACGGTGAAACCCCGTCTCTACTAAAAAATACAAAAAAATTTAGCCGGGCACGGTGGCGGGCGCCTGTAGTCCCATCTACTCGGGAGGCTGAGGCAGGAGAATGGCGTGAACCCAGGAGGCGGAGTTTGCAGTAAGCCGAGATCCCGCCACTGCACTCCAGCCTGGGTGACTGAGTGAGACTCTGTCTCAAAAAAAAAAAACTTTCTCAAGCATGCTAAGTCACAAAATTTGAGTTATCCTGAGCTTTTTTTTACTTTAAGCTATCAAGCCATTGTTTGGAATCTTCAGAACCTCTTTAGAGTTTGGGATTTAAGAGTCAGTAGGTAGATAGTGAGCTTAAGATGCCAAACACAACATTTAAAGCTATAAAAATCCATATGACCTTGAAAGATTAAATGGAAGCCCAGCACAAAACAATTGCTGAGTATATTATTTACATTATCTGAAAGTATGCCAAACAGACACTTTATATGTTAATAAAGATATGAGAAAGAAAATTCCAAAGAGTTTCTAAAAAGTGAACAACCACAAAATTTCAATAGCTTGCAACAAACATTTTCTTCTTCTCACTCATGTTACCTGATGGAAAATCAAATGGCTGCCTGGAGACAGCATGGAGGCAGAGACTGATTACTGAGGTGCACAAGAAAACTTTTCATAATGATGGTTGTGAGTGTAGTGATATTTCCAAAAGTATATATATATATATATATATATATACACACACACACACACACACACACACACACACACATATATATACACATATATATATATCTCAAATTTGACCACATCACACATTTCAAGTATACTGAATTGACTGTGCATCTCTTATTATACCCCAGGAAAGTTGAAGATATGACAATGAAAAAAAAATTCTTCCACCGACTGCCCATCAATTTTCTTCTCATTAGCCTCACAGATTTCACAGTTAATTAAAGGGAAGATGCAAATATGTTCAAACTGTACATATTCTGAGGCCCATACCTTGCCATTAGCTCGATAAAGAGAGACATTGTCCCTGGCATGAAAATGAAAAACTCGCACACTCCCTGTGTGGCTTCTGGACACTCTAAGACATGAACACACTTTGGGGGCTCACCCTGTCAGGCTTTGCTCTTAGAGCTTAGATGAGAAAAACACAAAAATAAAACCAAAAGGTGACATTTAGATGCCCATCAAGGAAGATGTGTTGGGAACTGGACAGGTCAGGGCTTTAAGTACTGTATCTTACTGTATGTTTAAGTACCGTATGTTACTGTAGAAACTTACCCATTTTCCCCTCAGAACAACTCTGTCTCAGGAGGTGAGTCTGAGAGCTACTGTTTCTTTGTAAAGGTTTTATCTGATCAGGCCCACGGTCACCACGTCAGCCCCACTGCCCCTAAATAGTTTGAATCTTGATGTTTTGATTTCAAAGACTTCTGATTCTAGCTACATAGCTTTGTCCATTTCCCACCTTACCACTATTTACTTTGAATTTTGTTGCATGCCGAGACCAGTGACTGCCACAAATGTGACTGTTCCTAGAATCTGCTTTCTGCTCTGATCTTTAGTCAGTGTGCAGACTCTAACATAAACTCCTTTCTGTCGTATTTTCTTGAGTCCAAGAGCCCATAGATTGTATAATGCACTATTTTATGTCCCGTTAAGCAAGTAATTCGCATTGTGGCTAATTAAACTAAGACATACCACTGAATTGTAAAATGCATTATATTTTCAGGAGATATTAAAATATGAAATGTATGGGTCTTGGAATAGATGAATTGTGACAGTATCTTTGGAAAGCTAATTCAGTTGCAGCATTGCTTAAGATGTCTTTAAGAGCTGACTTCCTTTAGTTGGAATACATATGTAAATTATTTGCAGAGGAGATTTACCTCTCTTATCTCATTCATTTGTTTATTCAATCATTTATTGATATCAGTATGGACTAAGGAAAATTACATTTTTGGGTATAATCCAAATATAATACCAATTAATTTATTGTGTTGCTAAAATTATTCTAGAAATTGAAAGACCTTTCACTTGGCCCCTGTGCTTGTTTGACATATCTCCCAAATAGATTTTTGTTAGTATTTTCATAATTTCTGGCACTAGAGGATGTCCCAGGCTCATCTTGTGTATTTTCTTCCCCGTTCTTAGAATCAGCCACTTTCAAAGACGCCCTGCTTTCTATATATGAAATCAATATTTAAGTGCTAGCTGTGCTTGTAGCTAAGGGAGTATCAGTTTTTTCATAGCTCTCTAAGATGAGAGAGCAAAGAAACAATGTGTATATTCTTACACATATATAGACACATATCTTTAAATATTTCTATATGTAAACATCTATATTAGTCCATTATCCCATTGTTATAAAGAACTACCTGATACTAGGTAATTTATGAAGAAAAGAGCTTTAATTGCCTCACAGTTCCACAGGCTGTACAGGAAGCAAGGATGGGGAAGCCTCAGAAAACGTACAGTCATAGCAGAAGGCAAAGAGGAAGCAGGCACATCTTACATGGCTGGAGAAGGAGGAAGAGAAGTAAGGGGGAGATGCTACACACTTTTAAACAGCCAGATTGTGCGAGAACTAACTCATTATCACAAGAACAGCAAGGAGGAAATCTGCCCCCATAATCCAGTCCCCTCCCACTAGACCCCTCCTTCAACACTGGCGATTACAATTGGACAAGAGGTTTGAGAGGGGACAAAATGTAAACCATATCACCATCTATGTCTATATTAAGCTAAACATGGGTTCTTACTGATGTCACTACCTCTAACCTAGTCCCGCAAGCATCAATGCCTTCCTGTATCTCTAAACCCCCACTCCAACAATAAAAATCCTGACTCTTACTTTGTGACATCTATTTAGTTAATTGTTCACTTCCAGTATATGTATATAGCTGTAGCAGACTTGCTAACCTGCCCTTAGTAGAAGAACATCTTTATCAACTAAATTAAATGCCTTCGTACAAGTTTCTTTTGCCTTTCATCTTAAGAGACTGCACTCATTTTCAGTATCACTTTGACTAGCACCCTTTCCCTTAAGTCCCTCACTGAAGTTATTTTGTATGGTTCATAATAGAACTAGATAAATTTGTAACAGTCTGCATTCCATCCTGAGATTCTACAACCTTTTAATTAATTTTTTATTAAAAATATAACTTTTATTTTGTTAAATATTAGCACTTCTGTGCCACACTACTATATATAAATATCAAGAAAAGGTCCAGAAAGCTATAGAAAATTTAAGTAAAGTGCTGAATGTTGAACCTAACAATAACTGGGCTAAAGTAAGTACAGAAGGCAATTTTTTATTTATGTAAATTTATGGGATACAAATATAATTTTGTTACCTCCATAAAGTACATAGTGTTGAAGTAAGGGTTTTAGAATATACATCACCTGAAAAATGTACATTGTAGTCATCACATAATTTCTCATCATCCCCTCCTCCCACCCTCCTGAAATTTCCAAGTCTCTGTTGTCTATCATTCCACATTCTATGTCCATGTGTATACATTATTTAGCTTCCAGTTATAAGTGAGAACATGCAGTATTTGTCTTTCTGTGTCTGATTTGTTTCACTTAAAATAATGACCAGTTACATCCATGTTGTTACAAAAGACATGATTTTACTCTTTTGTATAGCTGAATAGTATTCTATAGCGCATATATGCCAGATTTATTAATCTGATCATCCACTGAGGGACACATCGCTATTGTGAATAGTGCTGTGATAAACATATGGGTGCAGATACCTTTTTCATATAATTATCTGTTCTCCTTTGGGTAGATCTCCAGTAGTGGGATTGTTGGTTGAAACTGCGGTTTTATTAAGAATGTATATTCTGTAGTTGCTGGGTAGAATTTTCTGTAAATGTCAGTTAGGTCTATTTCATCTAAGGTTGAATTTAAGTCTTATGTTTATTTGTTTTCTGTCTTGATGATAACATTTAATGCTGTGAGTGCGATGGTAAAGTCCCCCAGTATTATCGTATTGCTGTCTATTCCTTTTTTATGTCTAGTAATATTTATTTTATGAATCTTGGTGGTCTAGTGTTGGATGCATGTGTGTTTAGAATTGTTATATCCTCTTGCTGAATTGATCCCTTTATCATTACGTAATGACCTCCTTTGTCATTGTTATACTGTTTTAGATTTAAGTTCTGTTTTACTTGATATAAGTATAGCTATTCCTGCTTGCTTTTAGTCTCCATTACATGGAGTATCTTTTTTCACCCATTTACTTTAAATCTGTATGTGTCTTTACTTTTCAGTCTGTATGTGTCTATATGTTTCTTGTAAGCATAATATTTTTGGATCATTTTTTAGTTCGTTCCATCAATCTACCTTTCTTTTTTTTTTTTTTTATTTTTAGATGGAGTTTCACTCTGTCATCCAGATTGGAGTGCAGTGGCGCAATCTTGGCTCACTGCAAACTCCGTCTTGCAGGTTCAAGCGATTCTCCTGCTTCAGCCTCCCAAGTAGATGGGATTACAGGTGCCGGCCACCACGCCTGGCTAATTTTTGTATTTTTAATGGAGATAGGGTTTCACTATGTTGGCCAGGCTGGCCTCGAACTCCTGACCTCGTGATCCACCCACCTCGGCCTCCCAAAGTGCTGGGATTACAAGTGTGAGCAACTGCACCTGGCCCAACATCAATCTATATATTTTAAGTGGAATGTTTAATTCATTTACATTCAAGGTTAATATGAATACATGAGGTTTTCTTTCTGCCATATTGCTATTTGTTTTCTACTTGTTTTATAAGTTCTTTGGGGTTATTTTGTTGTTGTTTTTTGTTTTTCTTTCTGTCTGTCTCTTTGTCTTTGTGGTTTGGTGGAAATCTGTTGTGTTGCTATTTGATTTCTCTTCCTACTTTGTGTGACTGTTTTACAAGACCTATGAGTTTGCTACTTTCATGTGTTTTGACGATGATGAATGTTGACCTTTCATTTTGTGTTTGGGACACCTTTGAGTATTTCTCATAGGACTCGTTTAGTGGTGACGAATTCCCTCAGTGTGTGCTTGTCTGGAAAATACTTTGAATCATTTCAAGAAAATTAGCAATGAGTTATGTCAATCAAGCCATTGGTTTGTATTTGGTGACACATTTACTCTGTATTATTTCACACTAGAACCATCTGAGTTAAGTTTTATTATTTGCTATATGTTGCAGATGAAGAAACTGAAGCTGAGAGAGGTTTAGTGAATGACTAAAGAGGTTGTCAGGCTGCAGGGAAAAAAAAAATAAAACTGTATGACTAGCCTGCAATGCTTCCCAAAGTATGCAGCTTATTATAATTGGTCACTTTTTGAGTACAAAACGCTGTGCTATGTAACAAAATAATACAATGTACATATGTATAAAAGTTAACATATACGTATCAATAAACATAAGCATAACTGTAATCACATATACTGATAAATAAAAATACAAAGTAATATATGGTAATGACCCAACCATTTGCCTAAGTTTCATGTATTACAGAAGTTTTGAGGAGGGACTTCAGCTGTATGCAAATCAGCAATTCGGTTTGTACAGCTGATTACCCATTAGTTCAGAATTTTAATAATTTAAAATGTGTTTATTAAGAACCTAACAATTGGAAGACCTTACAATAGGTGGGAAAATTCGACAGATGAATAATGCTTAGGAGATATCAGCATGTTTTGGAAGGATATTCCCATGAAGAGAAAAAGTATTGTGGGAAGTGTGGGAAGTGTTATGGTGTGAGAGTAATATAGGTTCCAGCATGTGTTTACATTATTTTGTTGGAGGTGTTGGGGAACCTTTCGTGGAAGGTGTGTGGTAGACTGTGTGGACAGGTTTCCTCAACCTTCGTTCCACTCTTTGAAGAGGTTAGAAAATTAAAACAAAACAAAACAAGCAATGCAGCTTCCCTTGAGCCAGCTTTATGAATGCAGCTTAGACCACTTACCCATTGTTTGCATATGAATCAGACTTAGAAAAATGGAAGAGATCAAAGCCTGTCTTGCTATTGTTGATTCTGGCAAGTGAAATCATGGAGACAGTAGTTCAGAAGTAGTGGAAGTGGTAGGATTCAATATCCTTGTGCCTAATCCCCAGTTTCATGGGCCTAAGAAGCTTAAAGTTTTAATAGTAGGAGCATCTTTTTGACCCAGGATTGCAGAAATGATTGCGTGCCTTTGAATTCAATAACTCAAAACCTTCCTCCATGCCACAGTGACTTTAGTTATTTTAGCTCTTCCTATTGTATATGTATGAAATGCACTTTCTGCTTAAGATACCTATTGCGGTTTTTATTTCCTTATTAAAACCTTGGAAAAATATAGCACTTAAATTATGTTTTGTAGAAATTCACTAAGCAAATAAAGCTAAAGGGGGAGAGAGTTAACCTTCTCTGCCCCCTTTTTATCAGAAGTCAGTTGTAGAAGAAATACACAATTTTTACACAATTTTAGCACCATCTAAGTTTTGTAGGTCTGGAACACAGAGTGGTTAGATGAGCATTTCAGGAGCACTATAGTTGCAAAGTTAAGCAGTCACCACAATTTTATGTGTCATACAAAGATTTTTAACTTTATGTTTAAGCAACGAGCCTAGAAGCAAATGGTATTTCCATCAAGAATTGTCTCATATAAAGTAGAGCGTTTTGGAAAATGAAGTTATTAATAGATAAAAACATGTTTATACAGTTGGTTTCTAAGTATGACAAACCTATTTCTTGGTAAATTGCAAGTCCATTCCACCTGTGTTTATAGGCTCATTTGCCTAAAAATCTTGGGATTTTTTTCTGATGATCTATTAAATTTTCTTTCTGATTATCTTTTCTAATGCTGTAATAGCGTTTCTAACACTGTAATGAAAGAGAACAAAAGTACACGCTTGCTCATCATTTACTAATTCTAAAAATATATATTGAATACATCTATGTAGCAGGTACTGTGGTAGGTGTGGAAGATAGTTGAGACAGGTAACAAGCCCAACATTACGGAGCTTAGCATCACCACATAGAAGAGTTTTTAAAAAACATAGATAAGTGAATAATGATTATAAAGACAAAGAGATTCTTGCCATATAATTACATATAAGCAAATTTAGGATGTGATGAAAGATTTTGATATTGGTCTTCTGATTTGGCTGTAGGATGAAGTGTTTATAAGTCATCCCAAGGAAGAAACAATTCAGATGAGAACTATTCAATGGATTTGCAATAACAATCCAAAGATGGAAGAAAACACTTCTAGGTAGACAAAATTGCAAGTATAGAGAATCTAAATTAAGAGAGAGCTTAGCTTTCAGATGAATTAAAAGATTGTGGTGATCAGAATGTAGAGATTGACGAGAGACAAATGAAATAAAACTAGAAGGACAAGTAGAGGTTTGTGGGTCAAGTTTTTAAATTTTATTATAAATGCACTGATACTGTTCTGAACATTTTCTTATGCATGGAAATTTAATGATTATGGCTATTGAAAAATGTAACTAACTCTTCATTTATATTTTTCCGAGAATGAAATGGGTGGAATTGCTGGGGGGTGAAAATGTCCAATGCGAAACAGGAGGCTAATTTAAGAAGATACTGCAAAATTGGTCATGATGGCTCAAACTGCTGTTCATAATAGAGAGAAGAAAATGGATAGAGTTACATATGGATGAGAGTAAATCGACAAGGCTAAATGCTAAAATGTGGGTAGTGACAGAAAGTAGGTGTCAAAATAGACTTCCAGGAAAAGAAAAAATGGGTCTACAAAAGAGCCAAATTCTGATCTGGGTTACATGATCCTGAGCAGATGCAGATGTAATTGGTTAAGTAAAGTAAGTTCTTAAGATAGATTTGGCCTGGCGCTATACATTCTAGAGCCCCTGAAGATAAGTGGGATATAAAACCATGGGAATGACTGTATTTGTCTAAGGAGAGAATTTGGCAGAAGAAAAGGAGACATAAGATGAAATGCAGAGGAAATTCACATTTAATTGGCAGGTGTAGGAAGACAAGGAGATGACAAAGGGAACTGGAAATGAGTAATCAGAGACAGAAAAGTAAAAGTAAGAGTAGAATGTCATGGAAGGCAAATAATTGGAATGTTTCAAGAACAGGGAAATGGGCAATAAAGAGAAGAAAAAAATAGTGACCAGAGGGTATAGTAATGTGTAGAAATTCATCCTGCGTTAGGTTTGATTGCTTAGACGTTTTATATAAAAATCTTTCCCAGAGAGTAATAAAACAGAAGTGAGGTGAGAGAAAGAACATACGATTTAGCCAAAAGGTGGGAAAAGTTAGGAAATGAAGAATAAATATGTTTAAAGATAATGTTATGGCTACTCAATGTACAACCTCTTTTCTTTCGTTATTTTTAATTGTCATATTTAAAAATAGTAATTACCACTTTTAAAAATTGTCTTATTATTTGTTACATAAGAAAATGCATTAATTCAAGCCACATAGTATCATTTATATTATGACTGTCGAAACATTACTAGAATTACTGGAACTATTAACCTAATGGCCTGAAAATTTCAACTCACTTCCCTAGCTGTCCTGATGATCATTAGTGAAAGGAAAGACTCCATTAAATAATGCTTACTTATAGAGAACTGGTTATATCTGTCTCATTTCCATACATATATCTATATAAATTAATTTGATAAATAAAACAAACACAAGGCACAAACAACAAAACACAATTTATAAATGTCATTGAAAAATGCATGCCTCTACAATTTGGGTATTTGTAATTGTAAATTGATATACTTCATTTTTTATCCAGGAGTTACTTAGATTGAAACTTTACCTAAGGTATGATAAAATAATATGTGATTAAATTTAAAAACATGATGAATTTATTTAAAATTGGCTTCAATAATGTCAGAAAGTTAATAAAATAAAACGATTCCTTCAAAGACTGCACCTGTTTATTGCCTGAGATTCTCTCTCTTGGCCACAAGTCAATATTACTTTCTTTCATTCATCAGTGATAAAGCTTTTCAATAATTCTAATTTTAAAGGATGATTACAGCAAGTATATAGTCATTGATTGCTTAAAGGTTGCAGCTAAAATGAACACAATGGTAATTTTATTTTTAATAAATGAGCCCTTTTGAAAAGTCAAGCATTTTTCCTCTCACAAAACTTTGTGTAATAAGGTTATAGATTTGATCATGTATGAGTTTACACTGTGTGTGTGTACATATGTGTGTGATTTCAGCGATAAAGTTCACTGTTCCACAGCTGGCAATTTCTTCGGCTTAATTGAAAATTCCGTTTTAAAATATTTCTTTAAAGTTCTAAAATGGGTTTAAATGGGTTCATGAGCTGTAATACTATTAAAAATATATATATATCTACATATTTGTTGATCCTCCTCAGTTTAAGAAGTGGAGCTTCATACTCCTCCCCTTGAAGGCAGGCTAAGCTGAGTGACTCCCATCTAAGAAATAAAACACCACAGGATTGGAATGTTACCTTCTGAGACAAGGTCACAAAGGCTAGGGTTTTAATTTTGAGTGAACTAATTTGCTCCTTACTGGTGTTTCTCTCTCTTTCTCTCCTTCAACTCTTTACGAGCCCAGCCACCATGCAAATAATTCCAAAGTATCTTTTCTAGAAAGCTCACATGAAGAACCGAGGCATCCTATCTGATATCCAGCCAAATGATTAAACATTCTAGAAGCAGACTATGATGCACTGAATTTGTGAAATCCTAACCCCCAATGTAATGATAGTAGGAGGTGGAGCTTTTGGTAGATGATAGTCTGTCTTCATGTTGGGGATTAGTGCCTTGATTATTATTTCTTATTTTTATTTTTATTTTTATTTATTTATTTATTTTTGAGACAGAGTCTTGCTCTGTTACCCAGGCTGGAGTGCAGTGGCGCCATGTCAGCTCACTGCAACGTCTGCCTCCTGGGTTCAAGTGTTTCTTCTGCCTCAGCCTCCTGAGTAGCTGAGTAGCTGAGACTACAGGTACGCACCACCACACCTGGCTAATTTTTGTATTTTTAGTAGAGACGGGGTTTCACCATACTGGCCAGGCTGGTCTGGACCTCCTGACCTCGTGATCTGCCTGCCTCAGCCTCCCAAAGTACTGGGATTACAGACGTGAGCCACCGTGCCCAGCCGGGGATTAGTGCCCTTATAAAAGAGACCCCAGAAAGCGTCCTTGCCCCTTCTGCCATGTGAGCTAGAGGACAGTAATCTATGAACTAAAAAATGGGCTCTGACCAGACACCAAATCTGCAAGCACCTTGATTTTGCACCATCCAGCCTCCGGTACCATTAGAAACATTTCTGTTGTTTATAAGCTACCCTGTCTATGGTATTCTGTAGCGACAGTGCAAACAAACTAAGACATGGACCTTCCAACACAAGTTAAAGGCTTCAGGGGATGCTGCCTGGGTCAACAACATGACAGCAACCTTTACTCATGAGAGACTTCGAGTCAGAACCACCTACCCAAATCCATCATTTCCCTGACTTCTATAAATTGTGTCATACGTATTTGTTATTTTAAGCCATTAAGTTTTAGGGTAATTTTTAAATGGAAAAATACATGATCATAGGTAAAACTATAATTAATAGAAAAATCTAATGGCAATAATATTTACCATTGATTGACCGTAAAAACTCCATTAATTATTTGCTTTCCGTTTATATTTATTTTGGGATTTCTTTTTTGAGAGAATGGCACCTGTGACAGCATACTGTTAATATTACCCTTGTATCGTACTTTACCATGCCATCTCTGAAGAATATTACAGACCATTTTGGAGCATGGTGAATAACAAATTTTTACTTTAGGAGTTCACTTGAATAGTCATTTTTATATTTGTGACTGCAAGTCACTTTTAGGGGCTGTACTTCGTTAGTACTGGTAGCATTATTATCCAATGGACTTTTATAGCTTTCATTAGGTTTTCTTTTGTTTTTGTTCTTTAAAGAACATTTTACTCAACTTAGTATTTCATTTTTCATCTATATTATGAGGCAGTAAGAGTCTTCTGTTTTTCCAAAGTTGAGACTGCTTTATATTTATTTGATATTGTCTACGGCTGTGGTGTTCAATACATTAGCCACTAGCCACATGTGGTTATTTAAATAAGATAAAATAAAAATTGGCCAGGCGTGGTGGCTCACGCCTGTAATCCCAGCACTTTGGGAGGCCGAGGCGGGCAGATCATGAGGTCAGGAGATCGAGACCATCCTTACTAAGACGGTGAAACCCCATCTCTACTAAAAATACAAAAAATTAGCCGGGCGTGGTGGCGGGCGCCTGCAGTCCCAGCTACTCAGGAGGCTGAGGCAGGAGAATGGCGTGAACCTGGGAGGCAGAGTTTGCAGTGAGCCGAGATGGCGCCACTGCACTCCAGCCTGGGGGACAGAGCGAGACTCCATCTCAAAAAAAAAAAAAAAAAATTATTAAGTTCTTTAGTTGCACTAGCCATATTTCAAATACTTGATGGATACATGTGGCTAGTGGCTAACATAATGGATAGCACAGATATAAAACATTTCCTCGTCATATAAAGTTCTATTGGATAGTGCTGGTCTGTAGCTTATAGGATGGTATCTTAGTCTGCTTCAGCTGCTAAAACAGAATACCATAAATTAGGTAGCTTAAACAGTAGATATTTTGACCAGGCGTGGTGGCTTATGCCTGTATTCCTAACACTTTGGGAGGCCGAGGCAGGTGGATAACTTGAGCTCAAGAGTTTGAGACTAGCCTGGGCAGCATGGCAAAACCTTGTCTCTACAGAAATTAGCTGGGCATGGTGGTGCACGCCTGTAGTCTGAGCTACTTGGGAGGCTGAGGTGGGAGAATTGCTTGAACCTGGGAGGCGGAGGTTGCAGTGAGCCATGATCGCACCACTGTACTCCAGCCTGGATGACAGAATGAGACTCTGTCTCAAAAAACAAAACAAAACAAAAAAAAAAAACAAAAAAAAAAAAAACGAGATATTTCTCACAGTTCTGGAGGCTGGAAGTGCAAGATCAAAGTGTTGGCAAATTACGTTTCTTAAAGAGGGCCTGCTTCCTAGATTGGAAATGGCCATCTTCTCTCAGTATCCTCACATGGTAGGGAGAAAAGCAGCTCTAGTGTCTCTTCTTATAAAGGAAGTAATGCCACCATAGGGGCTCTATTCTAATGACCTCATCTAAACCTAATTCTCTCCTAAAGGCCACGCCTCCCAATATCCTCACCTTGGGGGTTAGGGCTTTATCATATGAATTTTTTTTTTTTTTTTTTTTTTTTGAGACAGAGTCTCGCTCTGTCTGTCACCCAGGCTGGAGTGCAGTGGCACAATCTCGGCTCTCTACAAGCTCCGCCTCCTGGGTTCACGCCATTCTCCTGCGTCAGCCTCCTGAGTAGCTGGGACTAAAGCGCCCGCCACTGCGCCCGGCTAATTTTTTGTATTTTTAGTAGAGACGGGGTTTTACCATGTTAGCCAGGATGATCTCGATCTCCTGACCTCGTGATCCACCCGCCTCGGCCTCCCAAAGTGCTGGGATTATAGGCATGAGCCACCGCGCCCGGCCTATCATATGAATTTTGAGGGAACACAAACATGCAGTCTGTAGCAGATGGTAATAGGCTGATATATTACACTTGTTGATGTAAATCTGATAGGTTTCTTTCTCTCCAAGGGCAGCTTTTTAAATATTTAACAATACCAATAATTTTTCAGGTTCTGTGAGAATTTTATAATTTATAATTTGCAAACTTAAAATAATCTATAATCTTATTTTGTCCTAACAATTACAAATATATTTTTTATTTCAGATTATATATATTCCTACCAGATGGAGATAATTACAGCTTTAAAAATTTTTATTTTTTCATTTTATTTCACATATTGACATTAAATTTTTATTGGCACATAATAATTGTACATATATACGGGGTACAATGTGATGTTTTAATACACGTACTCAATGTGTAATGATCCAATCAGGGTAATTTGCATAATGATTTTTCTGTAGGGAGAAAATTCAAAATCTACTCTTCTGGCTATTTTCAAATATATGATACGTTATTGTTAACTATACTCATCCTACTATGCAATAGGACACCAGAACTTATTCCTGGGTTCTACATCTGTTTATTAAGCCAACCAAGGATTGGAAATATTGGAAAAAGAAATTGCGTCTGTACTGAACATGTACAGACTTTTTTCTTCTCCTTATTCCTTACACAATATAGTACAATAACTATTTGCATGACATTTACATCGGATATTATGAGTGATCTAGAGTTGATATGAAGTATATGGGAGGATGTGCAAAGGTGATGTGCAAATACTATGTCATTTTATATCAGGGACTTGAGTATCCTTTGTTATCCTCAGGAGATCCTGAAACTAGTCCCCCATGGATACTGAGGGCTGACTGTATAGTCCTATCCTCACGGAACTTTCATTCTAATGAGGGAAGACTGACTATAAACAAAATATACGTAATAGGTGGTGGTAAGTACCGTGGAGAAGTAACAAATGGGGCAAAGTGAGTTATACAGCTCCATTCTTAGAAACCTTGGAGTACTTTTCTTAGTTTATACTCGTGGTGGTTTCCTTTTGTCTCCTTTATTACATGGGACTCTGACATGTGCCCATAGCTAGGGTGGCAGTAGGATCTACCCGATAGTAGGGTGGCAGTAGGATCTACCCGAAAAGCATCCTGCTGATACAGGACCAAAGCATCCTGTTGTTCTCGAGCCTATAAAAAGAGCTAATGGTCTTGCTTCTCTTAACTGTGGCCTCCTACACTGTGTTTTGGATGATTGGTGATGTCTTGGATATTCTGTTTCTTTGGAACTTTGAATATACAACACTTTACTAGGGAAGTAGCAATGGAAGCAGAGCAAAGATGTACAGAGGAAACAATGCATAACTCTGATGGAATTGAAGTCATGAGGCAGCAGAAAGCTTAAATTGCAGCTTTAAAAATTTTTATTTTTTAGAGGGAATTTAATTGGGAGTAACAGCAGTAATAGTTAACGGAGCCAGAATGCTTGAGTCATATAATTGCAAAGCAGAGTTGGGAGCAACAGATGCTAAAGAGTAGTTGCTGTAGTTCCTCTTTGGGTCGTAGGAGCAGTTGTCATATTACCATATAGCTACTGAATGAAGAAGAGTTCTTAGTGAGGCCTGGGTGAACAGCTCTTCTTAGTATTCTGTGTGACCCCATTTGACCTTTTAACAAATCTCTAAGTAAATAAATAGCCCCTAAGGTAAACTAAGTTTTTCTCTGCTATTTTTTTGCTTGAGAGAGCTATAACTGTAATAGACTTATATTTCTGAACATTTTAGTGCTTGCCAATATTTGGTAATATTTATGTTTCCTATATTTGTAATGAACATTCTTCTTCCAGTACATTTTTTGTTAAATTATTGTTTCATGCATAAAAGTTCACCTTTTATTGTATAAAATTGACTCAGATTAATTTATACACATTGACAATGGGTAAATAGAATTTTTCAGATTATTAAAAGCTGAAGGATGCCCATGTAAGCAAAAAAAAAAACAAAAAAAAACCCAACAAAAATAAACCCAAACCGCTCAAACAATTTCGAACACAAAACATTCTTCTCATGCCGGCATCCCTGCTTGCAGCTGGGAAGGGGGCAGGAATCAGCGAGGTGACCTGGGCTGAGTCCCGGGAGTGGGAAGAGGTGGCAGGAAAGGGATCTGAGGAGGAGAACAGGGGTCCTGGTGGTCTGTGCTTCTTCCCAGACACGGGAGCTGTAGAGGGGACCTCTGCAGCAGATGCTAGGGGGGCCACTAGGCCCAGGCAGTCTTGGGACTTGGGTCTGTCCTGCTGTGCATCCATAGTGGGTGCTTTAGAAACGGGAGGCCCACCAGAAGCCCCTGTTGCAAGTGAGGACAGTGTGGGAAGGCCGTGAGGGTCTGCAGTCCGAGATGGCCTTGTCCTCAACGTGCAGTGCACTGTTGATGCGGGGCCTAGAGGCCTGGGATCACGGGGAGCCACCCCTGGGGGTGAGTGTCTGCCCTGGTGCTGTATCTGCCGCCTTTTCACACCGGGTGTGACCCGAAGAGACAGCCTGAGGTCCGTCCTCACTCACTGTCTTTGAGGAACTGAGGGCCAGCTGGCAGCGGGATGAGGCTGACACCCTCCTCCGCTTTAGTTCCGGGAGGCCTTCCGTAGAGCTGTGGGAGCTCGAGCTGGCATTTCGTTTGCGGCACGATCTGGTCCGGGAGGTCTGGGATCTCTGGTTACATCTCACTTCTGACCTCTGGGCACCTACTGCAGCTGTGGCTGAGGCCCAGAAATGTGAAGGGCCTCCATCCACTGCCTTGAGTAGTGACCCCGACGTGGGGTTCAATGTGGAGGGGGGAGGGGCTGCCGCGGCAGCTGCAGGAGCCGACGTGCCAGGCCTTGTTCTTCTCATGCCGGCATCCATGCTTGCAGCTGTGAAGGGCGCAGGAATCAGCGAGGTGACCTGGGCTGAGTCCCGGGAGTGGGAAGAGGTGGCAGGAAAGGGATCTGAGGAGGAGAACAGGGGTCCTGGTGGTCTTTGTTTCTTCCCAGACACGGGAGCTGTAGAGGGGACCTCTGCAGCAGATGCTAGGGGGGGCCACTAGGCCCAGGCAGTCTTGGGACTTGGGTCTGTCCTGCTGTGCATCCATAGTGGGTGCTTTAGAAACGGGAGGCCCACCAGAAGCCCCTGTTGCAAGTGAGGACAGAGTGTGGGAAGGCCGTGAGGGTCTGCAGTCCGAGATGGCCTTGTCCTCAACATGCAGTGCACTGTTGATGCGGGGCCTAGAGGCCTGGGATCTGGGGGAGCCACTCCTGGGGGCGAGTGTCTGCCCTGGTGCTGTATCTGCCTTATTTTCACACCGGGTGTGACCCGAAGAGACAGCCTGAGGTCCATCCTCACTCACTGTCTTTGAGGAATTGAGGGCCAGCTGGCAGCAGGATGAGGCTGGCCCCCTCCTCCGCTTTAGTTCCGGGAGGCCTTCCATAGAACTGTGGGAGCTTGAGCTGGCCTTTCGTTTGCGGCACGATCTGGTCCGGGAGGTCTGGGATCTCTGGTTATATCTCACTTCTGACCTCTGGGCACCTGCTGCAGCTGTGGCTGAGGCCCAGAAATGTGAAGGGCCTCCATCCACTGCCTTGAGTAGTGACCCCGACGTGGGGTTCAATGTGGAGGGGGGAGGGGCTGCCGCGGCAGCTGCAGGAGCCGACGTGCCAGGCCTTGTTCTTCTCATGCCGGCATCCATGCTTGCAGCTGTGAAGGGCGCAGGAATCAGCGAGGTGACCTGGGCTGAGTCCCGGGAGTGGGAAGAGGTGGCAGGAAAGGGATCTGAGGAGGAGAACAGGGGTCCTGGTGGTCTGTGCTTCTTCCCAGACACGGGAGCTGTAGAGGGGACCTCTGCAGCAGATGCAAGGGGGGCCACTAGGCCCAGGCAGTCTTGGGACTTGGGTCTGTCCTGCTGTGCATCCATAGTGGGTGCTTTAGAAACGGGAGGCCCACCAGAAGCCCCTGTTGCAAGTGAGGACAGTGTGGGAAGGCCGTGAGGGTCTGCAGTCCGAGATGGCCTTGTCCTCAACGTGCAGTGCACTGTTGATGCGGGGCCTAGAGGCCTGGGATCACGGGGAGCCACCCCTGGGGGTGAGTGTCTGCCCTGGTGCTGTATCTGCCGCCTTTTCACACCGGGTGTGACCCGAAGAGACAGCCTGAGGTCCGTCCTAACTCACTGTCTTTGAGGAACCGAGGGCCAGCTGGCAGCGGGATGAGGCTGACACCCTCCTCCGCTTTAGTTCTGGGAGGCCTTCCGGAGAGCTGTGGGAGCTCGAGCTGGCCTTTCGTTTGCGGCACAATCTGGTCCGGGAGGTCTGGGATCTATGGGTATATCTCACTTCTGACCTCTGGGCACCTGCTGCAGCTGTGGCTGAGGCCCAGAAATGTGAAGGGCCTCCATCCACTGCCTTGAGTAGTGACCCCGACGTGGGGTTCAATGTGGAGGGGGGAGGGGCTGCCGCGGCAGCTGCAGGAGCCGACGTGCCAGGCCTTGTTCTTCTCATGCCGGCATCCATGCTTGCAGCTGTGAAGGGCGCAGGAATCAGCGAGGTGACCTGGGCTGAGTCCCGGGAGTGGGAAGAGGTGGCAGGAAGGGGATCTGAGGAGGAGAACAGGGGTCCTGGTGGTCTGTGCTTCTTCCCAGACATGGGAGCTGTAGAGGGGACCTCTGCAGCAGATGCAAGGGGGGCCACTAGGCCCAGGCAGTCTTGGGACTTGGGTCTGTCCTGCTGTGCATCCATAGTGGGTGCTTTAGAAACAGGAGGCCCACCAGAAGCCCCTGTTGCAAGTGAGGACAGAGTGTGGGAAGGCCATGAGGGTCTGCAGTCCGAGATGGCCTTGTCCTCAACCTGCAGCGCACTGTTGATCCGCTGGAATGCCGCCTCTTTTTCCAGGTGCAGGTCTTCAGCCGTGACCCGGTACCCCAGCTCTAAGGGAGGTGGCAGCATCAAAGGCTCCCCTCGCCTGCGTGGCAGCAGGGCAATCTTGCGTCTACGGGGCCTAGAGGCCTGGGATCTGGGGGAGCCACCCCTTGGGGCAAGTGTCTGCCCTGGTGCTGTATCTGCCGCCTTTTCACACCGTGTGTGACCCGAAGAGACAGCCTGAGGCCTGTCCTCACTCACTGTCTTTGAGTAACTGAGGGTCAGCTGGCAGCGGGATGAGGCTGGCCCCCTCCTCTGCTTTAGCCCCGGCAAGCCTCCCGTGGAGCTGTAGGAGCTGGAGATGGCATTTCGTTTGGTGCTCGAGCTCGTCCAGGAGGTCTGGGATGTCTGATTATATCTGATTTCTGAGCTCTGGGCATGGAGGTCTGTCTGCAGAGGCCCGGGCCTGGGCGCAAAGGGAGAGAGGCCTCCATTGTACCGCAGGGGCCGAACTGTAGACCGTGCATCCCCGGTGACCTCGGGGACCGTTCTCTGATCATCAGGATTTTCTTGGACTCTGGGGTCCTTGTCCTGCTCAGGCATCCCTGCCCCGCTGTTTTGCTCCGCTGGCCCCCTCCTCCACTTTAGCCCCAGCAAGCCTCCCGCGGAGCTGTAGGAGCTGGAGATGGCATTTTGGTTGGTGCACGAGCTCGTCCAGGTGGTCTGGGATGTCTGGTTGGATCTGATTTCTGACCTCTGGGCATGGAGGTATGTCTGCAGAGGCCCGGGACTGGGCACAAAGGGAAAGAGGACTCCAGTGTCCCGCAGGGGCCAAAATGCAGACCGTGCATCCCCGGTGACCTCGGGGACTCTTCTCTGATCATCAGGATTCTTTTGGACTCTAGGGTCCTTGTCCTGCCCAGGCATCCCTGCCCCGCTCTCCTTGAGGGCCCTCGACACTATCTTCCCTGGAAACAAGTCTGGGGACAGCTGGGTGTTGTGGACCCCAAAGGGGTGACTACCTGCTCCTGGGCCCCACAGAGTCCTTGTGCTCAGTGTAGTGGCTGAGCTGGGGGATGCCCTGGAACTCGGAGCACACAGCACTGGCTTACTGTGGTACCTGTGCAGTGAAATTGAAGGCAGAATCACCAGGATGGAACACAGGTCTTGCAGGATCACGGAAAACCTTCTTAGAGTTGTCTTGACACCACTGATGTCGAGTGTCCGGGTGCTTGTAGGATGGCCTGCCACTCAGTCCAGGGGCAGGAGCAACGGGGAGATCCCACAAGCAAAGTGAACTGGGGGATGGGCTGAAGGGGCTCCAGGCAACTGAGCCCTACTCGCAGGTCCTCGGCCTTGGCCCAAACAGGAATGAGGGGCACAGAGTGCCCGGGTAACCGCTCCTGGGAGCAGTGGGGAACCGTCGGATGCTTGAACTCTCGAGAGCTGGGCTCTGAGCGTCCTCGTCCAGCTGCCAACTCGGCCAAAGGCTAAGCCAGCAGATTCTTCTGTTGCCGGGCAACGCACCTTCTAAACCTGAGGGAGTGGGCGCGTGAGCACATAATGGCACCAGTGACAGAGCGACCATAATGGATTAATAAGCGCAGCCAGGTACCCGCGCAAGGCACTTGCTGGCAATGGCAGGAGGCGGACGTGGGGGGGTCGTGCAATAGGTACTGGAGGGAGAGACGCGGGCACAAAGGTCACGGGAGGAACAGGTGCCCACAATGGCTGCAGATCTGCCCGTGGATCACTGAAGATTCCTGCTCTCCTGCTGAGGTGGAGACTGCAGTGAGCTGAGATCGCACCATTGCACTCCAGCCTGGGCAACGAGTGCAAAACTGAGTCTCCAGATAAAAAAAAGAAAAAGAAAAAAAAGAGGCCGGGTGTGGTGGCTTATGCCTATAATCCTAGCACTTTGGGAGGTCGGGGTGGACGGATCACGAGATCAGGAGTTGGAGTCCAGCCTGGCCAACATAGTGAAACCCCGTCTCTAGTAAAAATACAAAATTTAGTCAGACATGGTGGGCAGGAGAGAGCACGTGCAGGGGAGCTCCCATTTATAAAACCATCAGATCTCATGAGACTTATTCACTACCATGAGAACAGCATGGGGGAAACTGCCTCCATGATTCAATTATCTCCACCTGGCCCCACCCTTGACACATGGGAATTGTTACAATTCAAGATGAGATTTGGGTGGGGACAGAGCCAAACCATATAATTCTTCCCCGGCCCCTCCCAAATCTCATGTCCTCACATTTCAAAAGCAATCATGCCTTCCCCAATGTCCCCCAAACTCTTATTTCAGCATTAACTCAAAATTCCATAGTCCAAAGTCTCATCTGAGACAAGGCAAGTCCCTTCCACCTATGAGCCTGTAAAATCAAAAGCAAGTGAGTTATTTTCTAGATACACAGGGATACAGGCATTGGGTAAATACACTCGTTTCAAATGGGAGAAATTGGCCAAAGCGAAAGAGCTACAGGCCCCATGCAAGTCCAAAACCCAGCAGGCAAATCTTAAAGCTCCAAAATGACCTCCTTTGACTCCATGTGTCACATCTAGGTGATGCAAGAAGTGGGTTCCCAGGGTCTTGGGCAGCCCCGCCCCTGTGGCTTTGCAGGGTACAGCCCCCCTTCTGGCTGCATTGAGTGTCTGCAGCTTTTCCAGGCACACAGTGCAAGCTGTCAGTGGATCTACCATTCTGGGGTCTGGAGGATGGTGGCCCTTTTCTCACAGCTCTGCTTGGCAGTACCCCAGTGGGGACTCTGTGTGGGGGCTCCAACCCCATATTTCCCTTTGACACTGCCCTACCAGAGGTTATCCATGAGGGCCCCCCCCCCGCAGCAAACTTTTGCCTGGATTTCCAGGCATTTTCATACATCTTCTGAAATCTAGGCGGAGGTTCATGAACGTTAATTCTTGACTTCGGTGCATCTGCAGGCTTAACACCGCCTAGAACCTGAAAGGCTTGGAACTTGCACCCTCTGAAGCCATGGCCCGAGGTGTACCTTGGCCCCTTTTACCTATGGCAGGAGCAGCTGGGATGCAGGGCACCAAGTTCCTGGGCTGCACACAGCAGGGGGTTCTGGACCCACAAAACCATTTTTCCTTCTAAGCCTCCTGGCCTGTGATGGGAGGGTCTGCTGTGAGGGTCTCTAACATGCCCTGGAGACGTTTGCCCCATTGTCTTGGTGATTAACATTTGGCTCCTCATTACTTATGCAAATTTCTACAACCCAGTCTCCTCAGAAAATAGACTTTTGTTTTCTGTTGCATCATCAGGCTACAAATTTTCTGAACTTTTATGCTCTGCTTCTTCTCGAATGCTTTGCTGCTTAGAAATTTCTTCTGTCAGATACCTTAAATCATCTCTCTCAAGTTCAAAGTTCCACAGATCTCTAGGGAACTCTAGAAAAAAATTCTTATTTTCACTCTTTCCCGCCTATCTTATGCCTGTTTCTAATACAGGTGCACAATGCCTGCAGTGTCTTTGCATAGTAAGAGTGACTTTACTCCGTTTCCCCACAAATTCCTCATCTCCCTCTGAGAGAACCACCTCCGCCTGGACCTTATTGTCCATATCACTATTAACATTTTGGTCAAAGCCGTTCAACAAGTCTCTAGGAAGTTCCAAACTTTCCCACATTTTCCTATCCTCTTCTGAGCCTTCCAAACTGTTCCAGCCTCTCCCTGTTACCCATTTCCAAAGTTGCTTCCACATTTTTGGGTATCTTTACAGCAGCACCCCACTCTACTGGTACCAACTTATTGTATTAGTCTGTTCTGACACTGCAAATAAAGACATACCTGAGACTGGGTAATTTATAAAGGAAAGAGGTTGAATTGACTCACAGTTCTGCGTGGCTGGGGAGGCCTCACAATCATGGTGGAAGGCAAGGAGGTGCAAAAGCATGTCTCCCATAGTGGCAGGCAGGAGAGAGCATGTGCAGGGGAACTCCCATTTATAAAACCATCAGATCTCATGAGACTTATTCACTACTACGAGAACAGTATGGGGGGAACCATCCCCATGATTCAGTTATCTGCACCCGGCCCCACCCTTGACACGTGGGAATTATTACAATGCAAGGTGAGATTTGGGTGGGGACACATCCAAACTATATCAGTAGGTTTTGACTTCTTGCTTGATTGCTAGGTTGCATAGAGGACAAACATGGAAATTAATGAAGTACCTTAATATCTGGCTTCAGATCTTAGACAGGATCAGAGGGCCAGCTCAAATTTGCAAGGAGGGGAGGTAGATCCCACCATTTTATGGGTGAATGGCAAAATCAAACAGAAATTATGTGGGATGGGAGATAGTGATGCAGGCATCTTTGGAAACATTCTACTTAGCTAATTTTATGCTAGGCTTTAGGTCAAGAAGGAGAGAGAGAGCTGACATGCTGTGGTACACACTTATAGTCCCAGCTACTTGGAAAGCTGAGGCAGGAGGATTGCTTGATCCCAGGAGTTTGAGGTTGTGTGCGATGATCGTTCTTGTGAATAGCCACTAGCCACTGAACTCCAGCTTGGACAACATTGAGACACCCTGTCTCTTAATTTAAAGAAAAAAAAAAAAAAAGGAGGACAGAAAGTGGTCTCAGTTTTTAATGTAAATATTTTTAATGGGATGATGATATTTTAAGATTAATGTATATTGTATATCAGTTAACTATAGGTCAATAATTATATAAAACTTAAGGTACGAAAAACATTTATTTTTGCGAACATATCTGTGAGTTGACTGTTCTTGGCTTGGTGAGGCTGCAAGCTGCAGATAGAGTCTAGGTATGTTTTCTGTGTGTTTGTTCCCCCTTGGATCAGTGGACTACCTGAGAATGTGTTTTTTGTCACAGTGGTAGAATCACAAGGAAACTCCAGTTCTGGAAGTACATTTTAAGCCTTTGCTTCTATCATGTCCACTGACATTCAGTCAGCCAAAGCACATACCTTGTCCATGGCTAACATTGATAGTATAGATAAATATACCTGACCTCTAGCAGGAGGAACTGCATTGTCTTGGGGAAAGGTTGTAGATATAGGGAGGGGTGATGAGTTGGGAACAATAATGTAGTCTGCTACAAATATATTAAAGTGTAACTGGATATGGTTGATGCAGAATTTTGAACCTTTGTTTTAATTCTGATTTTTACTCTTTTCCCCCTATCTAGTGCCCTTTTGTAATACAGTAATTCTCATGATTTTTGTCTGAATTGAAATCTTCTATGAGATTAGATTGTCTACGAAAATACAGTCAATCCTCCTTGTTTTCAGCTTTTGTATTTGTGAACTCACCTACTATTTTTTGTAACCCCCAAATCAGTACTCACAGCACTTTCATAGTCACGTGTTTGCATAGAGTGTCAAAGAATTTGAGTTTGAACAGGATGATATTCTGCCTTCTTTTTCAGCTCTCATACAATAGTCAGGTATCCTTTTTGTGGTCTATTTAATGCCATGCTTTTCCTATTTTTGTACTGTTTGTTGGTTGTTTTGCCATTTAAATTAACCCCCAAGCATAGTGCTGAAGTGCTGCTTAGCATTCACAAGTCCAAGAAGTCTGTGATGTGCCTTACAGAGAAAATACATGCATTAAATAAACTCCATTCAGGCGTGAGTGCTGTGGTGCCATTGGCTGTGAGTTCAATGTTAATGAATGAACAATGTATATTATTTATTTATTCATTCATTTAATTAATTATTATTATTATTTTTTGAGATAGAGTCTCACTCTGTTGCTCAGGCTGGAGTGCAGTGGTGCAGTCTTGGCTGACTGCAACCTCTGCCTCCTGGGTTCAAGCGATTCCCCTGCCTTAGCCTCCCAAGTAGCTAAGACTACAGGCATGCGCCACCATGCCTGGCTAATTTTTTTTTTTTTTTGTAGTTTTAGTAGAGACGGGGTTTCACCACGTTGGCCAGGCTGGTCTCGAACTCCAGACCTCAAATGATCTGCCCGCCTTGGCTTCCCAAAGTGCTGGGATTACAGGCGTTAGCCACTGTGCCTGGCCAACAATATATATTAAATAAGCACCCATACAACAAAAGTAGGTGTTGGTAAGCTTACAAAAATGTGACCAGTAGCTTGCTGAAACCTAACTTTTTATTTGTTCATGGAACTTTCTAGACCGTAACTACACTGAATAATGAGAATCTGCTGTAACCTTTTTAGGTGCTGTAGATGAGCCATTGGATTAAATTATTACAGTATGTTTCAGACTGCTCTATGTTGAACCCTAGTGAAATGCCTCTCAGACCCTCATAAGGATCACAATCTCATGTCCTTTTTTTTGTTATTAAATGCCCAGTATGTGTTAGCGATTTAAACAAAATTCAAATATTTTTTTTTTTTTGAGACAGAGTCTCGCTCTGTCACCTAAGCTGGAGAATGCAGTTGCATGATCTCGGCTCACTACAACCTCTGCCTCCCGGGTTCAAGCGATTCTCCTGCCTCAGCATCCTGAGTAGCTGGGATTACAGGCGCCTGCCACCACGCTGGGCTAATTTTTGTATTTTTAGTAGAGACGGGGTTTCGCCAGGTTGTCCAGGCTGGTCTGGAACTCCTGACCTCAGGCGATCTGCCTGCCTTGGCCTCCTAAAGTGCTGGGATTATAGGCGTGAGCCACCATGCCCAGCGTTGACTTTTTCATAATAACCATTCTGACTGGTGTTGAGATGGTATGCCATTGTGGTTTTGGTTTGCATTTCTCTAATGATCAGTGATATTGAGCTTTTTTTCATATGCTTGTTGGCCGCATGTGTGTCTTCTTTTGAAGTGTCTGTTTATGTCCTTTGCCCACTTTCTAATGAGATTTTTTTTTCTTGTAAATTTGTTTAAGTTCCTTATCAGTGTTGGACATTAGATCTTTGTCACATGCATTGTTGCAAAAATTTTCTCCCATTCTGTAGGTTGTCTGTTCACTCTGTTGATAGTTTCTTTTGCTGTGCAGAAGCTTCAAGAAGAAAGGAATCCGATTGGTTCTGTGTCTGTCTCTTTTGGTATTCTCAGACTTATGTAGTCATCCATATAGAAAGATGATTAGGAAAATAGGACAAGCATAGCAGAAATCTACATAAAAATGTAGGAAATTAAAATTAGTTACCAGCATACAAAAAACTACTATATGTCATAATTACATACTATAACTCACCCCTCCTTGCCAAATATTCTCTCTCTTTTGACTTCAAAATCATGGCTTATATGTACTTTTTCTATTTCCCAGATGCAAATATAATTAATTGACTTTATTTATCTAGGAAATGTTACTGATATCTTAATTGTAGTCATTGGCTTGAGTGACGGGTTTTGGTAATTCAACTACTATTGAAAGTAGTAGATTTCCTAGGATACTGTTATAAAATCTTTTTAACCTCTTTTCTGATTTCAGGAGTAATTAGTAATTGTGGTTTACTGGAAAATTCAATGAATAGGGTGTTAAAGGAAGCAATTCATTAATAATTTATCTAATCTATTGGGAGACTGAGGCGGGTGGATCACCTGAGTTGAGGAGTTCGAGACCAGCCTGGCCAACATGGCAAAACTCCATCTCTACTAAAAATACAAAAATTCGCCGGGCATGGTGGTGCATTCCTGTATTCCCAGGTACTCGGAAGGCTGAGGCAGGAGAATCACCTGAACTCCAGAGGTGGAGGTTGCAGTGAGTCAGGATCGCAGCACTACACTCCAGCCTGGGTGACAGAGTGAGACTCCATCTCAAAAAAAAAATTAAAAAATTAAATTAAAAAAAAGCGGGCCGGGCGCATTGGTTCAGGGCCGGGCACGGTGGCTCAAGCCTGTAATCCCAGCACTTTGGGAGGCCGAGGCAGGCGGATCATGAGGTCAGGAGATCAAGACCATCCTGGCTAATGTGGTGAAACCCCGTCTCTACTAACAATACAAAAATTAGCTGGATGTGGTGGCAGGTGCCTGTAATCCCAGCTATTCCAGAGGCTGAGGCAGGAGAATCACTTGAACCTGGGAGGCAGAGGTTTCAGTGAGTCCAGATCATGCCACTGCACTCCAGCCTGGGCGACAGAGCGAGATTCTATCTCAAAAAAAAAAAAAAAAGAAAAAAGCAACAGAAGCAAATGAGAGTGCCTGGGAGTGGTCATTGTGGGGTATTCCCGTTTGTGTGACCCAGGTCATGTCCGTCCCTAAGCCCTGGTCTCTCTTGCCTCCTGCAGGGCTGGTGAATTACCAGATCTCCGTCAAGTGCAGTAACCAGTTCAAGTTGGAAGTGTGTCTTTTGAATGCAGAAAACAAAGTCGTGGACAACCAGGCTGGGACCCAGGGCCAGCTGAAGGTGCTGGGTGCCAACCTCTGGTGGCCGTACCTGATGCACGAACACCCCGCCTACCTGTACTCGTGGGAGGTAATGGTGGTTTGGGACTTGCTTAAGGGAGGTCTTTTGCCCCCATCTGGTAGCCCTGGCTTCAGCAGGAGCCTAGGACAGGTGAACGGGCAGGTGTGGTCCTCTGAGCTTTCTGATGTTTCCCACCCTTGGTGGGAGGCCCAGATTTTTTATTTATTTATTTATTTATTTATTTATTTTTATTTTTTTTGTGTGTGATGGTCTCACTCTGTCACCCAGGCTGGAATGCAATGGCCTGATCACAGCTCACTGCAGCTTTGAGCTGCAATCCTCCTACCTTGGCCTCCTGAGTAGCTGGGACTACAGGCACATGCCACCATGCCTGGCTAATTAAAAAAATTTTTTTTGTAGGCCGGGCATGGTGGCTCACGCCTGTAATCCCAGCACTTCGGGAGGCTGACGCGGGCGGATCACTTTAGGCCAGGAGTTGGAGACCAGCCTGGCCAACATGGTGAAACCCCGTCTCTACTAAAATATGAAAATTTGCAGGGCATGATGGTGCACATCTGTTATCCCAGCTACTCGGGAGGCTGAGGCAGGGGAATTGCTTGAACCCAGGAGGCAGGGGCTGCGGCGAATTGAGATCATGCCACTGCACTCTATCCTGGGTGACAGAGTGAGACTGTCTCAAAAAAAAAATCCTTTTTGTAGAGTTGGGGTCTTACTCTGTTGCCCAGGCTGGTCTTGAACTCCTGGACTCAGGTGATCCTCCTGCCTTAGCCTCCCAAAGTGTAGGGATTCCAGGCATGAGCCACCTCGTCTGGTCAAGGAGAAGGCCTGATTTTGAAGGGCAGGTCCCAGGGTCAGCCAGTGAAGGGCAGAGCCTCTGATTGCTGCTGCTCTGCAGGCCCAGAGGCGACTGCTGGGGTGCATGCACGAGGGGTCTTCCTGCTGTAGGGCAGGCCAGATGGGGTTCAGGCTGTCGGGGCGCTCACACCTGGCGCTTTGGCTGTCATAGGTGCGGCTGACTGCACAGAAGTCACTGGGGCCTTTGACTTCTACACACTCCCTGTGGGGCTCCGCACTGTGCCTGTCACCGAGAGCCAGTGGGTGAGAGCCAGTTTCATTTGTGGTAGAGGCAGCAGAGGTTGTAGAAATGCTCCTTGAGGCAGATGCCACACCCCAGTTTCATGGAGTGATTTGGGCTGAGCCGAGTCTGCAGCAGGCAGAAGGCTCTGAGATGTTGTCCTAGCCTGGGCAAAGGACAATTCAGAGCTCGGGGGAATAGGGGTGTGCTCAGCACGACTGGGTGGACAGGCCCTTTGTTGTGAATCGTACAGGCTTCCAGGAGCGGGTGCCTGAGGCTTCCAGACAGGCTTTGGGAGGTGGCCAGAGGAGATGCCTGTTTCCGGGGCAGGAAACGGAGGGAGCGCCCAGGCTGGAGAGGTTCAGCCAGGCTGTCACAAGGCTTTGAAGCTTCCCATCTGAGAGCCTGGCTATTGGAGAGTGTGGGTTTGGAACTTGAGGCTAGGAGGTTCTGTTCTGTCCTGTGCCAGCCACAGCCTTCGGATGGGCAGAGCAATGATGGGGGAAGATGTAAAAGAAAAGAACTGAGGAAAGAAGAAGAAAACCAGTTTCAACAACAGTATAGGCCGGATGCAGTGGGTCACGCCTGTAATCCCAGCAGTTTGGGAGGCTGAGGTGGGTGGATCACCTGAGGTCAGGAGTTCGAGACCAGCCTGGTCAACAGGTAGTGAATCCTGTCTCTACTAAAAATACAAAAATTAGCTGGGCGTGGTGGTGGACGTCTGTAATCCCAGCTACTAGGTAGGCTGAGGCAGGAGAATCGCCTCAGGTGAACCAGGAGGCAGAGATTGCAGTGAGCTGAGATAATGCCACTGCATTCCAGCCTGGGCTACAGAATGAGACTCTATCTCAAAAAAACAAAACAAAACAAAAACACAACAGTCTGTTCTGTGGAGGCCTTGGGCAGATGCTGGGAGCTCTGAGCACGGACTGGTCCCTCTGTTGGGAGCCTCTTCCCTTCATCCCTCCTGGTTAACTTGACTCAGCATAAAGGCCATTTCTTCTAAGAGCCTGTCCCTGACTCTCCAATCCGGGATGTGTCTGTTGTCTCATAGAGTGCCCAATTCCTGCCACCACTTGTCATTTCCATTCGCAACATTTCTTTCATTGTTTGTTTTTCAGAGTCAGGGTCTCACTCTGTTGCCCAGGCTGGAGTGCAGTGGTGCAATCATAGCTTGTTGCCATCTCGACCTCCTGGGCTTAAGCGATCCTCCCCACTCAGCCTCCCATATAGCTGGGATCACAGACGTGCGCTGCCTTGCCAGGCTACATTTTAATATTTTTTTTCCCCACGAGTCAGAGTCTTGCTCCGTCACCCAGGCTGGAGAGCAGTGTTGCGATCTTGGCTCACTGCATCCTCTACCTCCTGGGTTCAAACAGTTCTGCCTCACCCTCCCGAGTAGCTGGGATTACAGGCTCACGCCACCATGCCCAGCTAGTTTTCTTCTTTATTTTTTGTTGAGATGGGGTTTCACCATGTTGGCCAGGCTGGTCTCGAACTCTTGACCTCGTGATCCACCTGCCTTGGCCTCCCAAAGTGCTCACAGGCTTGAGCCACCATGCCCAGCCCTAATTTTTAAATTTGTTGTAGAAACAAGGTCTTGCTATGTTGCCCAGGCTGGTCTCAAGCGCCTGGTCTCAAGTAAGCCTCCCAAAGTGCTGGGGTTCTAGGCGTGAGCCACCTCGCCTGGCACTTGCACCGTTTTTCTGTGCATGCATCTCCACTCCCACTGCCCAGGACCTGTGGACTTAGATTTGAGTCATTACTGAGCACCTAGCACCCAGCCCCGTGCCTACCTCCCACCTCGCACTACCTGTTTGCTTGATGCATTAATAAATATTCCACCTGAATCCACAGCCCATTCACTCCTGTGTTCAAGAGTTATTTCAGGAAGCGAACCTCATTTTTGGCAGTGTTCAGTCCAGTGACCTCAGCTCTGTGTACCTGGCAGGGTGGCTACGCCTCTGGGGGAATTGGATTCAGGGGTGGGGGAGAAAGAGTGATGTTAGAGAGCTCGGTCTAGGACTAGAGGAACGTGCCCTTATGTAAAACACATCTCAAGTTAGGGAAGAAAGCAGCGGCTCTGTGCTTTGTTTTTTTTTTTCTTTTCTTTCTTTCTTTTTTTTTTTTGTTTGTTTGTTTGTTTGTTTGTTTTGGGGCAGGGTCTTGCTCTGTGGCCCAGGCTGGAGTGCAGTAGCGTGATTTCGGCTCACTGCAACCTCCACCTCCCGGGTTCAAGCAATTCTTGTGCCTCAGCCTCCTGAGTAGCTGGAGTTACAGATGCGTGCCACTATGCCTGGCTAATTTTTGTATATTTAGTAGAAATGGGATTTTGCCATGTTGGCCAGGCTGTTCTTGAACTCCTGACCTCAGTGATCTGCCTGCCTCAGCCTCCTGAAGTGCTGGGATTACAGATGTGAGCCATCATACCTGGCCCCCAGTTGTGTTCTGTCAGGGGAAGATGGGACAGAGAGGATGGGAGGGTGTCTTAGCCTTTCCCGGACTGACGGAACCTGTGTCTTCTCTCTTTTGTGGACAGGATGGTGATTGCTCACACCAAAGCCTTGGACCCCTCCCAGCCTGTGACCTTTGTGACCAACTCCACCTACGCAGCAGACAAGGGGGTGAGCCTGGGGGTCCCCACCCCATTTCTCCCTGCCTTTGCCTGGGCTTGTCCTGAAGCCTGCTCATGGGAACAGCTGGAAAGAACCATGTGCTGCCAGTCTGAGCTTTTTATTTTGTTTTACTTAGAAAGATAGAGACAGGGTCTTGCCATGTTGCCCAGGCTGGTCTCGAACTCCTGGGCTCAAGTGATCCTCCTGCCTCGGCCTTCCAAAGGGCTGGGGTTACAGGCGTGTGCCACCGCACTCAGCCGCAGCCAGTCTGTTTTCAAAGATGGTCTTTGGGTTAATGACAATTCTCTCTCTGCTTACTCTCCAGGCAGTGTGGCTTTCTGAATCCAAGGAGGCTGGGCATAGGGAGATGGGATTTGTTTGCTCAGTTTGGACTCAGCATTTTTTGTACTCGACTTAATAGACTCATAAAATGTCAAAGGTTTAAGTGAGCTTAGAGTTCATCTGGCCCAAACCTGGCTGATCAGAATCTCCAGAAGTTTTATTGAAATGCCAGATCTCTGCATTCTGAGATCCCGATTTAGTAACTCCAGGGTTGGAACCTGAGTTTTTTTTTTTTTTTTTTTTTTTTTTTTTTTTTTTTTTTTGTGAAGGCAAGGTCTTACTCTGTTGCTCTGGCTGGAGTGCAGTGGTGTGATCACAGCTCACTGCAGCCTTGAATTCCTGGGCCTAAGCAACCCTCTTGCCTCAGCCTTCCAAGTAGCTGGGACTCCGGGTGTACACCACTGTGCCCGGCTAATTTTAAATGTTTTTGTAGAGATGGGATCTCACTATGTTGCCCAGGCCAGTCTCAAACTCTTGAGCTCAAGTGATCCTCCTGCCTTAGCCTCCTAAAGTGCTGGGATTACAGGCATGAGCCACCGTGCCTGGTTGATACTAGCATTCTTTTTTTTTTTTTAAAGATAGAGTCTTGCTCTGTTGCCCAGGCTGGAGTGCAGTGGCACAGTCTCAGCTCACTGCAACCTCCGCCTCCCAGGTTCAAGCAATTCTCCTGCCTCAGCCTCCCAAGTAGCTGGGATAACAGGCACATGCCACCACGCCTGTGCTTGATCATGGAAGGCAGAGGTTGCACTATTGTGCCACTCCATTCTAGCCTGGGCAACAGAGCGAGACTCTGTCTTCCAAACAAAGCGAAAAAAGATTATCTGCGAGAATGAGTGCATTGGCCCCTTGGGTGGGAGCGCTTCTCCAGGGCAAGGTGAGGGGATGCCCAGTGCTGGGAGTGCTGCCTGGAGAGGAGTCAGTTCCAGTGGCGGGGGCCCTGGGTTTTGGCTGAGGACTGCGTGTTGGCAGCTGCTCTGCCTCTCACAGCCCTTCCCAGCTGCACACGTCATGAGCGTCAGTGTGCAATCACAGGCCTGCCTCCTTTGGGCCACTTTGTGACCATGTTTTTTGCTGGTGGGGCAGGGTAATTTCAGGATCTAAATTGGTGCAGTTGGACGTTCTCAGCCCCGAGAGGCAGCTCTTCCCGTTCTAGGCTTTTTGTTTTGTTTTGTAGAAATGGAGTCCTACGATGTTGCCCAGGCTGGTCTCAAACTCCTGGGCTCAAGTGATCCTCCCACCTTGGCCTCCCAATCTGCTGGGATTACAGGCATGAGCCACTGTGCCGTGCTAATTTTCTTGATACTATTTTTTGTAGAGCTGGGGTCTTGCTGTGTTGCCCAGGCTGGTCTTGAACTCCTGGCCACAAGCCACCCTCCTGCCTCAGCCTCCCGGAGTGCTGGGATTACATCCCCTTCTTACCTTCTCTGTCAGAGGAGCCCCCACAGCATGTGAGTACTGAGTCATGCGGTCTTGTGGTTGCTGAACGGGCTCTGCTACTCTGGTCCTAGGCTCTGTATGTGGATGTGATCCGTGTGAACAGCTACTACTCTTGGTATCGCAACTACGGGCACCTGGAGTTGATTCAGCTGCAGCTGCCCGCCCAGTTTGAGAATTGGTGTAAGACATCACAATCCCATTATTCAGAGCGCGTATGGAGTGGAAACGCTTATAGGGTTTCACCAGGTAAGCGGTGTTGAACTTTCTGCTTGTGTATTCTCTCTGGGCAGAGATGCCACTTGCCTCCCCCACCCTGCCCTGCGCCCACTGCAGTGCTCCCCTTGCTTCAGCTTTGGGCTCACCTCCCGCTACCCTGTCCACGTTCCCTTCTCACCAGCAGCCAGGCCTCTGCCCCACTCGCTTGGTCCTCAAAGGTGGACTCCTTACTGGCCTTGTTTCCAGACAGCCTCCTATCACCCGTGCCCAAGTGGTCTTTCTAACAAATCCAAATTTTTGTGTGTTTTTGAGACCGCCTCTCTCTCTGTCACCCAAGCTGGAGTGCGGTGGTGCGATCACTGCTCACTACAGCCTTAACCTCCTGGGCCCAAGCGATCTTCCCACCTCAGCCTCCTGAGTAGCTGGGACCATAGGCACAGGCCAACATGCCTGGCTAATTTTTTTTACTTTTGTAGAGATGGGGCCTTGTTGTGTTCCCCGGGCTGGTCTTGAATTCCTGGGATCAAGTGATCCTCCTGCCTCAGGCTCACAAAGCGCTGGGATTACAGGTGTGAGCCACTGTGCCCGGCCACAAATCAAAATTTTTGAGTCCTATCATTGGCTCCCCCAGGCCCATAGGACAAAGTCCTAACCCCTAGTCAGGACACTCAGTGTCCTCTGCTCTCTCTCCTGGGTTTTCATCCTCTTCTCTTCTCACTCCTGGCCACTGATCTGTTTCCACTGCCCTCATTTGCTCTCCTGCTCTTGCTTGAGCTATTCTTTCTGCCTGGAATGCCCATGTTGGCACCATAATCACCAACTAAAAGATCCTTTTCTTTTTATTTTTTTAGAGATAGGGTCTTGCTGTGTTGCCCAGGCTGGTCTCAAACTCCTGGACTCAATTGACCTTTTTGCCTTGGCCTCTCAAAGTGCTGGGATTAACAGGTGTGATCCACTGTGCTAGCCTTTTTTTTATTTTTTATTTTTTTCCTGACAGAGTCTTGTTCTGTTGCCCAGGCTGGAGTGTGGTGGTGTCATCATAGCTCACTGCAGCCTCGAACTCCTGGGCTGAAGCGATTCCCCTGCCTCAGCCTCCTGAGTAGCTGGGACTACAGGCGTGCACCACCATGTGCAGCCTAGTTTTAAAATATTTTGTAGAGATGCAGTCTCACTATGAGGCTGGTCTTCACCTCCTGTCTTGGACTCCCAAAGTACTGGAAATACAGGCATGAGTCACGACACGTGGCTGAAAAGATTCCTATTTGGCGTCTGAGTCTCCTCATAGCTGTCCCCTCTGTGGGGAGGTTTACCCCGCCTGCCCCAGGCGGAGGGAACCTTCCCCATGCTCTGCCCTGTTGCAGCCAGAACCTGGCTCTCCCAACATTCTCGCCAGGCACTGTTGTTATTTCTTTGGCTCTCTCTTTGATCGGACTGTGGGCTCAGGAGACAGGAGTCCTATTTATTGTTGTTTCCCAGGTACTCTGCAATAGCTGACACAGCACATGCTAAATAATACCTATTGAGGGCATGGGTGAGATCTTAGAGCCATGTTTAATCACTCACTTTGTCTTTTTTTTTTTTTTTTTTTTTTTTTGAGATGGAGTCTCACTCTGTCACCCAGGCTGAAGTGCAATGGTGTGATCTCAGCTCACTGCAACCTCCATGTCCTGGGCTCAAGCGATTGTCCTGCCTCAACCTCCCAAGTAGCTGGGATTACAGGCACCCGCCACCATGCCCAGCTAATTTTTGTATTTTTGTAGAGGTGGGGTTTTGCCATGTTGGCCAGGTTGGTCTCGAGCTCCTGACGTCAAGTGATTTGCCTGCTTCGGCGTCCCAAAATCCTGGGATTACAGGCCTGAGCCACCATGCCTGGCCTGTCCTCATTTGTTTATCCATCTCATTTTTTGTCCTTCTCACCAAAGTTATGTTGCTTTGTCTTGTGGGTTTTTTTTCATGTGGATTCCTGAACCCCATCCAGCCCCTTGTCCCCTCCCCAGCCAGCTCACACTCTTTTCTCACAGCTCCTGGGACTCCCGTTGACACACAGGGAACAGCCACCCACAGTGGACTGCACTGTTCTGTTTGCACCCTTAAATTTATCGTGCTTACAGAATGACACTTCTGCAAACTAGTCAAGTAGGGGGAAATGGTTTGTGGATATGCACCCTTGTTTATTCTCTTTGAAAATGTAACCAGCTCTGAATTCTTTCTCCTCTGAGGAGGAGTTTCACTTGTCGCCCAGGCTGGAGTGTAGTGGTGCAATCTTGACTCACTGCTACCTCCACCTCCCAGGTTCAAGCAATTCTCCTGCATCAGCCTCCCAAGTAGCTTGGATTACAGGCATGCACCACCATGCTCACCGAATTTTTTTTTTTTTTTTTTTTTTTTTTTTAGTAGAGATGAGGTTTCACCATGTTGGTCAGGCTGGTCTTGAACTTTTGACCTCAAGCGATCCACCTGCCTTGGCCTCCCAAAGTGCTGGAATTACAGGCATGAGCCACCATGCCCAGCCTCAGTTCTGAATTCTTAAGAAACTCGAGAGGGTCTAGGTGAGCATTGATAGAACCTCTGCAGTGCTGGGTGTGGTGGCTCACACCTGGAATGCTAGCCCTTTGGGAGACCGAGGTCAGAGGATCTCTTGAGCCCAGGAGTTTGAGACCAGTCTGCACAACATGGACCCCATCTCTACAAAATATTTAAGATGAGTTGTGGCTGGGTGCAGTGGCGGACACCTGTAATCCCAGCACTTTGTGAGGCTGAGGTGGGTGGATCACGAGGCCAAGAGTTCAAGTCCAGCCTGACCAACATGGTGAAACCCCGTCTCTACTAAGAAAACACAGAAATTAGCTGGGTGTGGTGGCATGCACCTGTAATCCCAGCTACTCAGGAGGCTAAAGCAGGAGAATCGCTTGAACTGGGGAGGTGGAGGTTGCAGTGAGCCGAGATTGTGCCACTGCACTCCAGCCTGGGCGACAGAGCAAGACTCCGTCTCAAAAAAAAGAAAAAAAAAAATAGTTGGGTATGGTCGTGCTTGCCTCTAGTCCCAGCTACTTGGGAGGCTGAGGTAGGAGGACTGTTTGAGCCCAGTAGGTCAAGGCTGCAGTCCGCCATAATTGCACCACTGTACTCCCACCTGGGTGACAGAGTGAGACCTTGTTTCAAAAAAGAACCTTTGCAATGATGGAAATGCCCCATGTCTGCACTGTCTGAAATGGTAGCCACTAGCTACTTGTGGCTATTGAGGTCTTGATGTATGACTAGATAACTGAATTTATTTGGTTTAATTAAAAAAAAATTTTTTTTGAGACAGCCTCACTCTGTTGCCCAGGCTGGAGTGCAGTGGCGTAATCACAGCTCACTGCTCAACCTCCTGGGCTCAAGTGATCCTTCCTCCTCGGCCCCCCAAGTAGCTGGAGCCACAGGCATGCGCCACTACACCTAGCAAATATTTAGCCTTTTTATAGAGACTGGGTTTCACTGTGTTTCCTAGGCTGATCTTGAACTCCTGAGCTCAAGTGGTCCTCCTGCCTCGACCTCCCAAAGTGCTGGGATTACAGACCTGAGCTACCATGCCCAGCCTGGTTTAGTTTAATTTCATTTTACATTCATTCATTCATTCATTCATTCATTCATGAGATAGGGTCTTGTTCTGTCACCCAGGCTGGAGTGTAGTGGTGCAAACACAGCTCACCACAGCTTTGACCTCCGGGACTGAAGCAGTCCTCCCACCTCAGCCTCCCAAGTAGCTGGGACCACAGGTGTGTGCCTCCATGCTTGGCTAACTTTTGTACTTTTTGTAGGCTAGTCTTGAACTCCTAGGCTCAAGCAGTCCTCCCACCTCGGTCTCCCAAAGTGCTTGGATGACAGACATGAGCCAGCGCGCCTGACCTAAAGACATATTTTTCTTTCTAGTGTAGTTCAGCCTTAAGACTGTATCAGCAGATAGAGACAGAAAAGTAAGAAAAATTGAGTATCAGATTATATTTATAAATAAAGCAGTTACTAATTGATGTTTTTTTTTAAACCTCCTTTTTAATTCTGGGTTACATCATTCCCTGGCTGTCTTTTTTTTTGTATTTTTTTTATTATTATATTTTAAGTTTTAGGGTACATGTGCACATTGTGCAGGTTACTTACATACGTATACATGTGCCATGCTGGTGTGCTGCACCCACTAACTCGTCATCTAGCATTAGGTATATCTCCCAATGCTATCCCTCCCCCCTCCCCCCACCCCACAACAGTCCCCAGAGTGTGATATTCCCCTTCCTGTGTCCATGTGATCTCATTGTTCAATTCCCACCTATGAGTGAGAATATGCGGTGTTTGGTTTTTTGTTCTTGCGATAGTTTACTGAGAATGATGATTTCCAGTTTCTCCCTGGCTGTCTTTACCCTAGCATCAGTGAGTCCTGCAGTCACTACAGCCCCCCAGTGAGGACAGATATTTTGGTCACCATCAAGTGGATCTTTATTTTTATCTAACATTTACAATTCTGCCAGTCCTTACTCTTAATTCTCTTTGCCTTGAATCCCAGGATCCACCTCTGATGTTCAGTGAAGAGTACCAGAAAAGTCTGCTAGAGCAGTACCATCTGGGTCTGGATCAAAAACGCAGAAAATACGTGGTTGGAGAGCTCATCTGGAATTTTGCCGATTTCATGACTAACCAGTGTAAGTGGCAGTTTAGCGCATGGGATAATGTACCCGTCCTCATTTTTTCAGGTTGCCTTGCCCATTCTGGACATTTTGGCTGTAAGAATATTGGAAACAAAGGGGGAAAGCTGGTTTATTCCATGTAGGTTGCGTTGAGAATTTCCTAGGAAAAGTAAGTTGTGCTTAGGAAGTAGGAAAGCAGCCAGGCCCCCGCTTCCCACATACAGTCAAAAAGCAAGCATGAGAGTCTGCTATAGTGAGATGGAAATGGCTAGCTTGCCTTTTTCTTGTCTATTTCATAGCCAAGGAGGAAGGAAAAACTGGACCTCATTATGAATTTACTTTTGGGATACACTCATTATTCCAGAGGAGGGTAAAAGGCTGAGAAGCTTAAGGTATTTCAGTCTGTTTTATGTTACTCATTTGCGAAAAGCAGGCTCATCGAATACAGGTGAGTTTCAACGTGTCTTGAATATGGCAGCATTTAAAAGTCTTCAGACCAGGCATGGTGGCTCATGCCTGTCATCCCAGCACTTTGGGAGGCCGAGGCAGGCAGATCATGAGGTCAGGAGATCGAGACCATCCCGGCTAACAGTGAAACCCTGTCTCTACTGAAAATACAAAAAAAATCAGCCGGGCGTGGTGGCAGGCGCCTGTAGTCCCAGCTGCTCGGGAGGCTGAGGCAGGAGAATGGCGTGAACCCAGGAGTTGGAGCTTGCAGTGAGCCGAGATTGTGCCACTGCACTCCAGCCTGGGCGACAGTGAGACTGCTTCTCAAAAAAAAAAAAAAAAAAAAAAAGAAAGGGTCTTCAAAGACAATAAGATCTGTGCTCTCACCTAGGGTGGATGAGGGGCTGCCAAGTTAGCAATGAATGTTTCCCATTTCTTCTTAGTTTATGGACTTTCCGTAAACTCAGGATGGCAGTTTGGTTGGTTGGAGAAGGATATGGTGATGGCGGGAGTTACAATACATTACTTATAGGGGAAGATAGGCTTTTGAAAGGTTAAAGCTTAAAAGTGAGAATGGAAAAGGGATGAATGAATGAACATGATGAGGTGAGAGGGAAGAGGTAAAGGGAAAAGGAGAACAAGAAACTCTTCTCTGCGTGGCACCTGGGATGAATGGTTTCTGGGGACATCCCTGATGGCAGTTTTGTGGAGAGGTGCAAAGCTTTATGTGGTAAGAAATGAGCTGTAGGCTCAGTGCAGTGGCTCACGCCTGTAATCCCAGCACTTTGGGAGGCCGAGGTGGGTGAAAAGAAAAAATGGGCCGGGCGCAGTGGCTCACGCCTGTAATCCCAGCACTTTGGGAGGCCGAGGTGGGTGGATCATGAGGTCAGGAGTTCGAGAGCAGCCTGGCCAACATGGTGAAACCGTGTCTCCACAAAAAACTAGAAAAAAAATCCCTGCATGGTGGTGAGTACCTGTAGTCCCAGTTACTCAGGAGGCTGAGGCATGAGAATTGCTGAAACCTCGGAGGCGGAGGCTGCAGTGAGCTGAGATGGTGCCACTGCACTCCAGCCTGGGTGACAGAGCTGGGTGGTGGCTCAAGATATGTTTTGTAAACCTGAAGATTTGAGATCATATAAGCCAAATCGAAACTTAATTGGCATTCCTAACTTTTGGTTCTAGAGACTCCATGATCAACTAAGAGCCACCAAACATTTCCCATGTAGACTATTTTGACCATGCTGACTCTACTGACACTTTGGTTACTGTATTCACTTTATCTCTAGAAATTAATTCTTACTGATGGATGTCTGTCACTGTAAGATCCTTCTATCCTCTGAAATAAGAACATTTTAACTTCAGTAGTTTAAACTAGTGTCCTAAACTATAGCATTCAAAATGAGATAATATGCTAAAGTAATACACAAACCAAAAATCCCAGTGGCTAACACAAAAAGTTTTTCTTACTCATTTTACTCATTCTTACTCATTTTACATATCCATACAATAGAAGTATATGTCTTTTGAATAGCTTTTATTTTATACTAATTATTTTATAATACATTCACTTCAAATTTTGGTTTAAAGTGTTTGTCATAGATATAGATAAAATAAAACAAATGGGAAATTGATTTTATGGTCTTGAATGAGACGATTATATTAATCTAGCAAATGAGTTAAATCAACAACAGAATTTTGAAAAATATGTAGTGGGTAATAGCTAATAATAATGTTTTTATGTGTAACTGATTTTATAACATTCAACCAAGTTTGTTTTTGTTAGGCCTGATAATATCAGAAGTAGTATATTTGTAATTTCAGTGTTTATTACTAATATTATACATCCCTCAATTGGCATAATTATAATATTTTAACTAAAATATACTGTGAAATTATACATTCTAGGCACTGTGCTGGGCTTCTGGCAAAATTATAAAGTTGCTTTATTAAATTCATACATGCGGAAATCTAATATAAATTTTATACATATATTTTTTATCATAAGAGTGTATAGTATTTCTTAGGGAATTTCAATGAACCTGGAAAATCTTATATACTTTAGTGAAACTGTAAGTTACTGCACTTGGAGAAAAAAATTATTGATATTTTCATAGTGCAAAAGTATACATATGTGCTAGTCTCAGCACCTAGATTAAAAGTCCACCCTTGAACCTAAAATAAAAGTTAAAATATTTTTAAAAAGAATCTATCCTACAGAAGTAAAGGCATATATGTTATCCTCGATATACAAGAATGCTTTCACAGCATTGTTTATGATGGCAAAATAAACCAGAATTAAACATGAGTTTCTTCAACAGGTAATTGGTAGAATAGTTTTTGTATCCTTATAATGGAAAAATTTTAAGATATTAAAAGATAAGTTAGTTTGCATGTATTTACCTGAAGCTATGTCTGCACCTATATGCAAAATAGGAGTTTGCAAAATAATATACATGATATCATTCACTTCATACAGAGTATTGGTTAACACATTAAAGAATTTTCTGTGAGGGACCAAGTTAAGGAATTTACATGCATTGGCTGATTTAATTCTCACATAAATCAGCTGATAGAGCAGTTTTATCATTCTCATTGCATCCCTGAATCTTAGGTGCATAGAGGTTCAATAAATTGCCTGGAGTTACACAGGGAAAGAATAAAGTTACTCAATTATTAGGATTTTCAGAACTTCAGAATAAAGAAAGCATGTTTAGTTCCCCCCGCGCCCCCCCCAACCCCGGGTACATGGCTGTTTTCCCTGGTTTCAGTTAACCAGCATTCAACTGAGGTCTAAAAATAGGTGAGTGTATAACAACAAGATATTTTGAGAGAGAGTAAGAGACCACATTCATCTACTTTTATTACAGTACATTATAAATGTTCTATTTTATCATTTTTATTGTTGTTACTTACTATGCCTAATTTATAAATTAAACTTTACCATAGCTATGTATTTATAGAAAAAAAATACATAGTACAGTATATATAGGATTTGAACTACCTACAGTTTCAGGCAACCACTGGGGGTCTTGGAATGTATCCTCTATGGATAAGATTGATTACTATATTTCCTAAGTTTCATAATGGCATTCTTTTGGAATAGATTAAATGTCATGCATGGGCTTTCAGCTTATTAATTTTATTATAACATTTGACAACGTCTCATGAAATTCTGATGCACACATAGAAAATATCAAACCAGATGGAAGTATTATGTGCTATATTCTTCGTTGAATAAATATACCCACAATGATTAATCAATGGGTACGTTTATGGGTAGTTTGAAAGGAAAAATAATATACTTCTGGGTTCTATTACTGGCACTATTGTGAATACAAATGTTATCAATCATGTAACTATTAGGCTGCTCACAAATACTTTAGTTTTTCTCATACTATACAAATAATAAGATGGCAGTATTTCATCCTGCTTGAAGGTAAATGAAATCACTTTACTTGTTTTGACCAATGTCATTTGAATAGAAGGAATTTTTACAAGGCCTTCCCATGGTCCCTTATGAGCTGTATTAGCATGAGTTGTGACAGAGTTTTTATCAGCTGTCTTCCTAAATGACTAAGTCTCCTTGTAAACTTATTATAGAGACTGAATTGGTTTTAGATGTGAAAGTTATTTATTACTGCAGTATAGTATAGGTCATCTTAACTGATACACATAACAAAATGGAATGTTTGGTTTAGAAATATACAGATGTCCCTACCAGGGGAAATTAGACAATTGACTTAATAATAAAACTAGTATTTAATTTCAGGAATTCAGAATTTATAGTATATAATATATTTATGTATATATATTATACTGTAGATATATTCACAAAGTTAATTTTTGATTAATAACTTACAGAAAGCTCTGCACCTGAGATTTATAAACTTGCTGAAAAAAATTCAGTAAGAAAACTCTATTTTAGTATATGCTTAATGAAAATATCTTGGTGGAAACCCTAAACTCTAAAACTACCCTGTGGTATTCAGAATGAGTCAAGCAAAACCCATAATAAATGACTTTATAGGTAGCTTTTGGATACAGCTCTAGGTTTAAAATTTGAGAATAAGGTTCGCAGATTCTATTCTTTACAAAGGAAGGGCTGTCACAGCAGTGTGTGCCTGGAACCCATTTTAAATAAAGGAAAAATTGAAGAGCTGGCATTTTAACCATCATATGTCTAATACATAATGATGCTTCATAAGTTACTGAGACCTCCCTCGATCTCTGGGATAGTTGGAGTAATGGCTGAATATAAACTATCAGAAAAATTGAATCTGTAATTCTGTCAATAAGTGAGAAAATATTCTAAGATTCTTTAAATTTTAATTCTGGGGTTTTGAACACATTGATATGTAAAATATAACAAAATAAGGTGGACACTGTTTAACTGCAGTTGGTATCAATTCTTATGTACTGAATTTAAGGAGAGAGATGTTATCACCGTAGGAAATTATACCAACTAATGACTGCATACCATTAATATATTTTCTGAAGTTTGAATTTTCAGTTAATGCACTTTCAATGATATTAAAGAGCACTTTATTAACAGCTATTTGAAGGGTAATTTATATACAGAGAACTGCACATATTTAACTTGTATACTTTAATGAGTTTAAACATCTGCAAACACCCCCGATACTGTCACCACAGTCACTTGGATATGATTCACATAAACATATCCAAGACCCCCTGAAATTTATTTTAAACCCCTTATGTGTGTATGTATGTGGTGAGAAGACTGAATTTGAGACCCAGCCTCAACAAATTTTGACATGCACAATATTATAGTATAAACTATTGGCACTATATTGAACAGCCGCTCTCTAAAATGTATTTATCTTGCACAACAAAGTTCATATTCCTTGAAAAACTTCCCATTACCCCACACCAGAGCCTTTGGAAACTACTGTGGTCTTCTCTGCCTCTGTGAGTTTGACTATTACAGATACCTCATATAAGTGGAATTCTGCAGTATTTGTCCTCTTGTGACTGGCTTATTTCACTTAGCATAAGATCCCTTAGGTTCATCAATATTGTCACCAATATCAGGATTTTCTTCTTAAGACTGAAAAATATTCTATTGTATGTATATACCTCAATTTCTTTATCCATTCATCTGCCAATGGGCAGAGACATGGGTTATTTCCATATCTTGGCTATTGTGAAAAACGATGCTATAAATGTGGGAGTGCAGATATCTCTACAAGATCCTGATTTTAATTGTTTTGGATATGTATCTAGAAATAAGAGTGCTGGATCGCCTGGTAATTCTATTATTTTTAGCTTTTGGAGGAACCTCCATACTGTTTTCATAGTTGCTGTATCATTGTACATTCTCAATGTACAGTGTGCAGGGGTTCCAAATTCCCTATATCCTCACCATTTATCTTTTGGTTTTTTGAAAATCAACATCCTAACAAGAGTGAGGTAATATCATTTTGATATTACTATTTGCAATGACTTTTTGAATATGACATCAAAAGCACAGGAAACAGAAGCAAAAAATAGGCAAGTTGGACTATATCAAACTAAAAACAAACAAGAAAAACAAAAACCAAGCAAACCTCCACACAGCTAAGGATACAAGCAACAGAATGAAAAGGCAATCTATAAAATGAGAGAAAATACTTGCAATCCATATATCTGATAATGGATTAATTTTTAAAATATATAAGAAATTCCTACAATTTAATAGCAAAACATGCATAATCTGATTTAAAAATGGGCAAAGGATTTGAACAGACATTTCTTCAAAGAAGATATGCAAATGGCCAACAGGTCCATTAAAAAATATGCTCAACATCTTTAATTATCAGGGACATGCAGATTAGTAGAACTTTCAAGTAAATAAATAAATAACTCTACTTCACAGACTAACCTATAAAATGCTGAATTTTGTTATGTAAAATGTTACAGAAATAATTTCCTCACAATTGTGTTTATTCATTTGTGCTACTATTACAAAATATTTACTACCTGGTCATTTATAAAGAACAGAAATTGATTTTTCACAGTTCTGCAGGCTGGAAATCCAAGATGAAGTCACCTATAGTTCAGTGTCTGCGTCTAAGAGAGCACTTTGTTGCTGCACCCGCCATGGGGAAGAAATACTGTATCTTCTCATGAAGGAAGGAACCGAAGGTGGGAATAGGGACCAAACTCCCTCTTTCAAGCCTTTTTGTAGTGACATTAATTCATTTATGAGGATGCCACCATCATGACATAATCATTTCCCAAAGGATTTCACCTCCTCCCACTGTTGCATTGGGAATTAATTTTCCAACACATGAATTTTGAGGGACACATTCAGACCATAGCAACTGGTATATAGTAACTAGGTGGCCCGATGGTCTTCATAATAAAGTTATATTTTACTTTAGTATAAAATAAAAGGTCAAGGCTTGTAACTGTCATGAGACTGCTTCACTCCCCTAGTGACTATCACAGTTGACTGACAGCTCCTGGGGTTCATCTTTGTATCCATCACTACCTATAGTCCAAAATCCCCACCTCACAGCTGTTGTCAGCCAATGACAAAGCATAGTGAGGTGCTGTTCCTGCTCAATATGGAGGAAAACTTTGGCTTGATAACTCTCCATTGGCCTGCCAAAATATGTTAAGTATTGTGCTACTATCTGAAACTCATTTTACCTAACCTTTTTTATTTTCTTTCCTCCTTCATAAGGTTTACAAGTATTGTGGCTGAAGGCTGTGTCTATTCCTGCTTCCTCCACCTCACCTTGCAAAAGTGTTTATCCAAATAAATCCCTCACACATCTAATCCCATTTTGGCAAATTCAGTTTCAGAACTTTGCCTTCACTACTAGTCTCAAGGAAAATATATTAATACACACACACACACATGCATGCACACACACACACATATGTATATATTTCCCAAACTATTATAGGTAAAATATACTCTTATCATGAATAAATCCAAATTGTGAATGCTTAAAATATACTTTACAGAATATTAAAATTTAAAAGCATCACAGGAAAAATATTAATACTGTTTACAGAATTTCAATATGTGAATAATATTTACATTACAGTTTCATATGAACCTTTTACTTCTCTATTTAGTATGCCATCATGTCACTGCAGAGGTATGAAAAGGAGAGCTCTCCTAGTTGTGAAAAAAGAAACATGTTTTATTGGGAGCTAAGTGGAAGGTTCAACATGTGGGAATATCTGGGCATGCACTGAAGACACCTTTTGCATCTCCCCCATCCACATAGCAAAGTGAATGTGGTTTGTATCCATTTATGCAGGATACTCTGGAAAACCAAACTGAAGCAAGGTTAACATACATTTTTAAAAGAAAACTAAAGGAAAACAACACATACTTTATTACCTATCAAAGTAACCACTTCATTATATTTTAGTGGAAGCTATTATTTATTATCGAATTATTTGCTTGGGCAGGAGGATACAGGGTTTTTCCATTTGGGTTGTATATGTTCCTCATGAGAAAAGCTGAAGACAAAATCTTACCCTTCTGCCCAAAGTCAATTGAATCAACATGTTTACCTTGCTCCACGGAGCTGCTGACCTACTGGCTGGCTGTTGTGTGGCTTGGCAATGGAGTTCTGCATGACAGGAACAATGGTTTTTAAGTGGACTAATCAGAGCTATTAATGCATATGCAGTGAAGGCAGGAACTTTGCTACATGCAGGACTTATCATTTTGCTAATAACAATGCCTGGCACAGATTAGCGATTTGTTGAAATAAAACATATTCTGGGAGATATAAGATAGAGAAAGAGAGCAGCATGTAGTAGAAATAGATGTCGAAAGATGAATTAAGATGATGCATTAAGCTTGAAACATGAGGCAGAGAAAGCTGTACATAAGTTGAAGGCTTTGAGTTAAAAGACTATAGGAATTAGATGAGTGGGGGCTATGGAGAACAGAGAGAATTTAGAGTGTGGACAAGTGTTCTATGAGCAGAGACTGGGACTAGCCAAAACGTGATGATGGGCAGCTAGCTTGGAAAGAATGCTTACAACGTGAAAATTATATATTTACAAAAGGCCATTACTTCTGTTAAAGAACAATAGACCCCAGTGAAAAGAAAGGAAATTGAAAAATAGAGAAAATGTGGAGAAAACTAGAATCTCTATAGACAGCGTCAATGCAGCATCAATTATATGAACCACTTTTGAGCACAAAGAACTATTGTTTTGACCTTGGAGGCAATTTGGTCTTCATTAGGTTTAGCTGTAGGATAGTTGATGTTCATTATTCCCTATAATGCTTGTGATGGCAAAACCTTCACAAATTTATATGATCTAGGTATGTTTTCAATCCTTACAACCCAAATAACCGATCATAACTCTCACTATGTCATTTGAAAAAAAAATGATCATCAGAAGTGTAATTCAATTAGCAAGTATCAGTAGTGGAGTATAAATTATTATTGGTTAATACTAAGTATGATTGAAAAATCATAGTAGATGGAAATATGGGAATCTTTATTTTGGATGAATAAACTTTATGCCTAAAACATATGTTTATAAAAAATACTTTGTGAATAAACCCATTGTCTAATATTTAAAAGAGTTGAAGTATGCTATTATAAGACCTTCCTTAATTGATGAAATGATGCAAAGCCAATAATATTGCTCCACTTACTGAAGTATAGAGATGAACAGAAAACTTTTTCTTTATTCCATGTTCTATATAAGTCAAGAACTAGAGCTCAAGATTAAGTTTTTTGTTTTTTGTTTTTTTTCCACTTCCCTGGGAACAGAGCAACAGTCTCTCTGGGTCTAAAACATCCTTTTTTCAGTACATCCCACAGCATCCTATAGAAATATGTTGCAATCAGTTGCCAAGTCACATCCTAGCTTAATGTCAGCAATTTTCTTTCTGAACCAATTTTGCACTCAGCATTAAGAGGAAATATTGAAGGGAGACATACCTTTTATGTTTGTAAAATTTATACTTCTTGAGATAAAAAAGCAACTATATCCATTGTCGTGGGATCTTGAGAAGAAATAAGAAAATGAAATATTATAGAAAATATTATATTATTTAATTGTCCTGTTCTAAAACACTTTCTAAGCCTGCCTGTTTTTTTGCCAAATTAAATTAATATTTGGATGTAGACAGCTTTTCAGAGTGGCAGTATCATAGTCAATGAAGATGACCTGAGGCACAGTTATTGCTAATTGGACATAGAAACCACCTTCACTCATATATAAAAATTATTATGTGCTACACTAGATATTTCAGGAGAATTGATAAAAGAAAGACTGTTGTATTCATATGCTTGTCTTCCTGGCTAGAGGATCTGTTTTAATTAATCAGCTCATGGAGTTTGGAAAATATTTATAGTATACATAGCTGAGTGTTCATGTAAATTTTGAATACGTTCATCTTTTTTTTAAAAAAAGATTGAACTTCAAAACCATTTTCTTACATACTCAGTAGAAGTTGTTATGAGCCAACATTTTTTGTGAGCTATACTATTTTAAACATCTAAAGTAAATTATTTGACATATAAAAAGACTTCTTCATTTAAAAATATATCTTTTAAAAATAATTTTACAAGTGATGGCATCTCATTTTAGAAGAAGAGGCATCAATGACAGCAGTTACAGTAACTCGATGCTGAATATGTTTTTAAATACAAGATGCTGTGTTCAGCATTGTACATACATTATCAAATTTTATTCTGATAATATGCTGCATGATGTATTAGGCTGGGTTCTCTCAGACAGAACCTACACGTATACATATATATATATACACATGCATATACATACACATACAGAGAGAGAGAAAGAGAGAGAGAGAGAGATCTCTACATTTATTAGAGGAATTGGATCATGCGATTATGGGGGCTGAGAAGTTCCAGGATAGGTTGTCTGCAAGCTGGAGAACCAGGGAAGAGAGTAGAGTAGCTTTCTCCAAGTCCTGAAGCTTCAGAACTAGGGAAACTGATGGTATAACTCTCAGTCAGAGGCCAACGGCCTGAGAACTCAGACAGCCACTTTGCAACTCCTGGAATCCCAAGGCCAGAGAGCCTGGAGTTTGGATGTCCAAAAGCACCAGAAGGAGGGTGTCTTAGGTCCAGGAGAGAGTGAGCTTTCCTACGCATTTTTGTTTTATCCATACCCCTGACCAATTGGATGGTGCCCACCCGCATTGAGGGTGGGTGTCCCTCTATTAAATATTTTAACTATAATTTTAACTGTGATATAGGCACTGAATTCTTGTTGCTAATAATCTGGTAAGATCCATCTGAACTATGAAGTGAGTACGTGGAGGAACTCCTACATTTTAGGCTTTCAAAGGTTACAGGCTTTTCGTGTGTGTGTGTGTGTGTGTTTTGAGAAAAATGGAATTCAAACACTGTGATTAGAATGTATGTTTACTTATATAGAATTTATGAATGAATGTATAATAATAATTACTGTATATAATTTTAAAATATAATAAAGTCTGTTTATCCGTGTGGTGTTAGTCTGTCTCTTCCATTTTGTTTTTCTTCCCTTCTTGAGCACTCCTTGCTTTTTTACCCATGGCCATTGTTCGATAATGAACATATTTGTAGCTTCTCATTTTAAGTCCCTTTCGACACTTTCAGAGACTTTATCCTGCAAATTTGGAAAGGTTTTTCTTTTCCATAATATAATTTTCCAAATGTTGGCTACTTGTTTAATTTTTTAAACATGCAATTGTTTTGCTTGTTTGCTTCACCTGGCAGCTCTCTCTAAAACCTGAGTCACTATTCCTTTTGAACTCTGCTAAAAACATTATCATCTTCTCCAGGAGCTGAAGTGAAAGATGATGTTTTATTCTACTGCTTTAGTAGGAAGAGCCACATTATTGTCTAATTCGAGTGCAAAATATCTCGTACCATTGATCATCTTTCTGGCAATAGACATCACAGTCTGCTTCCTAACCATTTCATCTCAGGCATTGTGCTGATTACCCCTTCAGGACTCTGGAGTTCACCGTTTTGCTGTAATTTCTTTAACCACCTGCTAACTCACTAAGGGCATTTGCTTAGTGTTTAATGTTCATCTCCCAAATCAGTCTTTTTAATTGAATAGGCTATTTTTTTCACATTTCATATTCAAGCTTAACTTCCTTTTTATAATATAGGCAGATGTTAAGATCACGTCAGCACTGCTGTGCAAAGGTTTATGACATATATTATTTTATATCTTTGTTCCACTGTCTGTCCTAAAATAAAAATCAATTGGTTTTTTGTTTGTTTTCTTGTTTTTAACATATCAACACAAACCAAAGTATTCTGTATGCTCCATTGATACCATCTCATTGTTGTTTGGATAGGCAAGATAAACATGTCTTAAGTTTTTAAAGGTTACAGAAGGGTTGAGAATGATGGAATCCAATCACTGATTAAAAATGTGTGTTTACTAGGTAGTATTTAAGAATGAATGCATATAATAATTATTGTTATTTTTAATTTAAAAATATAATAGGGACCTTTTGTCAGTGTGGTGAGAGTCTTTCTATGTCCAGTCTGTTTTTTTGCCCTTCTAGAGCACTCCTTGCTTTTTTACCCATAGCCTTTGGATGATAATCAACAACATATATGTTGCTTCTCATTTTAAGCACTTTTCAATACTTGCAGAAACTTTAGTATATCACGGACATATATGAAATTGTGAGGACTTTGTTATTGAGATGTTTAATTAAAAATTATTATAATCATAATAAAATACATTTTATAGTAAAATATTAAAATACAAATATAATAATAAAGCAAAACTATAGTAGCATCTTTCTCTAGATTGCAATTTAAAGAAGAAACATTGACTTCCTAATGTTGGAATCAATCTTTTTAAAAAGTTTATATTTTAGGTTTACGGGTACATGCGAAGGTTTGTTATATAGATAAACACATGTCATGGGGGGGTTGTTGTACATAACATTACATCACCCAGAAATTAAGCTCGGAATCTTTTTCTTTCATTTTTAGCTATGTTATTTCCCTTATGGTGGACCATAAATCTAAAATTGTAATTAAATGTCCATCCTCCAAAAATGGAAATGCAAACATGTGCATGTCTTTAAAGGTAAGACACAGAAGCTGTCAATATAATTTGTACAGAAGTTATATTTTTAATCCATGTGTGCACATACAAGGTGGAATGCCCATTGTATGAGGAACATTCTATACATTGATTATGTGTAATTGAATGCAAGAACTTATACAGAGGTACATTAAGATGAAGAAACATGTTTATCTTGTTCTCTCTTCTCTGTAGCATTGAAATTTCAGCTGCAAAGAAAAGGGTAGGCAAGTCAGGGCAATGTCAGTTTTTCTCAATTAAAACAATTTTAAAATCCAAATGAATACTAAGGGGAGAAAGAGAGCCAACTACCCATAAGTATTTATAATTTGATTAAAATTCTGTTTTGTTGAACTCTCCACATTATTTAATAAGAGGTAGTGAGCTTAGAATAGCTTACCCTGCTCAGATAAACCATTACAAGCTTTGCAATTTACTAATCATCAGTCTGAAGCAATTTTCTGTAATATTTTAGCCCCTCTTCACTGATACATAAAGAGAACTTGCATATAAAAACAATAAAGGAATTCAAGATGCTCTACATTTAAAATCTCAACTGTAGAAATGATTTTCTGCCATATCTAGTAATTCAGAGCTAGACAAAACCATTAATTTAATTATATACCTGCTATGGTTTGAATGTGTCCCCCAAAGTTTATGTGTTGGAAACCTAATTCTCAATGTAATGGTGTTGGGAGTTAGGGCCTAATAAGAGGTGATTAAATTATGAGAGTTCTGCCCTCATGAATGGACTAATATCATTTTCCTTGGAGTGGGTTAGTTAATTATGAGAATGGGTTTGTTATAAAGACAAGTTTGGCCCATTCTTGCTCGCTTGCTTTTGCCTACTCTTGACCTTCTGCTTTCTGCCATGGGATGACAGAGAATGTAGGCACTCACCAGATGCCGTTGCTATGCATTTGAATTTCCAGTCTCCAGAACCACGAACCATGGTTCATTATAAATTAACAAGTCTGTGAGAGTCTGTTATGAGTATAAAATGAACTAAGTCCCTAATGTGCAATATGAAAAAATGAATACAAGATTAATCTCTCAGACTACCTTTCACTATCCAGTGTAGAGAGAATCAGTCCAGGGTAAAACTAACTTTATGTAATGAAGGATAAAAGGAAGAAATCAAATTAACGAAAATGGATGCATGGATTAGAAAAAAAATCGTTTAAAAAATCAAATGGTTGTACCCAAAGGAGACACAATGCATGGTTTAAGTGGGAAACCTCACTGACCATGACATTTATTTTTAATTAGCAATTCAACTAATGTATAGCATCAGTAACATTGTCAATAATTATCTCCCAAGCTTTGTCATTATATATAATTTATAGAACTCTCCATGTATGTTGTTGTTTCATACATTTACAATATTTTTAAAATTTAAACCAGTAGTCTAATGTAATAAGAACTATTTCACCATGAAAGATAAAGAGTGTAATAATTCCTGTCAAAAGTCCAATGTACATTGTCTAGGTAAGCAGAATCCAGATAGTTCACCTGAAAAATAGTAAAATGTCCAAACAGCTTCATAAATAAATAGACTATGTTTAATCTTAAAAAACTGCTAATATACGTATTTGATATTAAGAATTTTAAAATTAATTTCACTGGAGTTTGAGACTCTTAATTTAGAGAAAAATGTAACATTTTATATATACAGTTTTTGAATTCAATTTTTTTTAACAATTGAAAAACCATACCATGCTAAGAATTTGCATTTGAACACTGAAATATTCTCTAAGTGGCCTGTTAGTGTATTAAAATTTCCTCTTAAACCTTTTTATTTTTATGTTTTTTTAAAGCTCCTAGTGGAAGGTTTGGCTACATAAAATGTATTTCATAAAGTTTGACTCTGAAGCATAATGCCAATTGCACAGTTGCCCACATTGAGCTATGAGTGGGCAGCGTTTTGTAACCATGGATATGGTGAACTTAATGTGAGAGCCATATTCATCTGAGGCTTGCAAGGGTTGGACAGTGCCCTACCTAGATATTCTTTACTGGGTCAGTGAGCGATCTCCAGCTGCCAGGTGATGTCAGCTCACTCCAAAGAATTGGCCTTGTCTGACAGAAGTATGCCCAATAAAATGTATGCATATGAATCACTGTCTTAAATTCTACTTCTAGAAAATCCAAACTATGAGACTCTTATTAAGAAAAATAAGCAGTATTTTTCTGAAATTCTTATTCTTTCTTTTTTTCCCAATATAAAAGGTTTTTTCTTCTTTTGCTAGTATTGCAGATTTTGTTTCACATAGCATTCTTTCTCTCTCTCTTTCGCTCCCTCTCTCTTAGTCTGTCTGTCAGCGGTCAGGGATTATTATCAGTCTGTCATCGGTCAGGGATTATTTGATTTAACCTTCACAGTGGTTTTAGCAGATAGGGAGCATTATCATAACTAGTTTTGTTTTGACAACAGTTGGAGTAGCTGTAAATTGGATAATATAAATATTGGCCAAGGTCACACATTTAGTAAGTGGTGCAGTTGAGATTGCAATCTGGTCTGTCTGACTCTGGAGTAACGGAACTCTTAACTGCTATGCCGCACTGCGTCCCCTTATAATTTAGGGAGCCCAGTGTTGGTGAACGGTAGGACCTATCACCAGCTCCCTCATAGTCCAATTAGATGCTGATCAAATATCCTTTTCAAATATTCAGGCACAGAGAATTGGGCAAATTATATATGTAGGGAGAATGTATATGAATATGCTTTACACGTCTATATAATTTAATGAAATTCATCCAGGTATGTTCATTTGGGGCAATATCCTTGTGAGGCATTGTGGAAATAAACTAATGATTTCAAACAGAAAGCAAAAGAAAAACGGGATGGTAGGAGTTCTGTTAGACAGGTATTCTGTCCTTTCCCCTACCTACTAACTTAATGCAACTTTGCAAATCTATAGTAGGTTTTCTTTAGGACTACACTGCTCTGGTCCTTTGTTTATGTTTTTCTCTAATCCATTGTGGATTCTAATGCCCTCAGTACTGAATAATAAACACAAGTCTGATAGTAGGGGCTACCTAATGAACTCTATACCCTATATCTGCATTTGTATATTTTTTCTTAATTTATGTTAGCTTCTTTGGTCTAAAGGTAGGAACTTAAACTTCCTAATATTTATTTTCACTTGCATTAATGATCTTTTGTTTAGAATTATTTATGTACTCATAATATTGCTCCTTAATGTATTCTCAAATGTGTTACTTGGAATCTTTCTTACAGAACTTTGGCATGTTTCTATGTTTATACTTCTGGGTTTTTTTTTAATTCTTTAATTATCTAAATTTTTAATATCTGAATTATTTAATTTTGTATATATCTTTTATTCTCATCAATGTTTACCTGGAATAGTACAGGGACAAATTCCAATATTCTTACTTACCACAGCATATTACTTGGCAAGTCCTCAGATTTATCAGTATTATATTTGAAGATAAAGAACTATCTAATAAAATAGAATAAAGACATTCAAAAGTTAAATTTTAAAAATTTCATCAGTGGATTTTAATTGGGAAATATGCATGTTTCAATAAACACTATAAATTGTTTCTGGAACCTGTGCATCTTTCTTCTGCCAAATTGCATTTGGAACATTTTTATGAAATTAATTGTACAACCTTGTTAATGAGTATTCTTTTTGCAGCTCATCATAATTTTTAGAGGTCATTATGATTTTGTCACATTATTTTAATCACTTATTTGCATATTATTTGTATAATTTGGTAAAAATGAGACATTAAAATAAATAATGAGATGAAAATTAGTTTCTTGGAAAAAACATCTCTCATTCCTCTGGAATGAGTTGCATGTCTTTGTTCAAGTTTGTTTGCTATTGTTGTACGTTTTTAAAATCGTGATTAATACATAGTAAACAACATTATAGGTTGTTTATTAATTTCAAATACACAGAGTTTTTTCCTGAAATAAATATGATCAGATAGTAGACATGGATTTGATAACTTTAAACTGAAATATATAGTTATTTAATTTAAAATCAAACCTACAAAAATTGTAAAGAGATACAGAAGGCACTGACTTATTTGGTGTCTTTAAGAACAAAAGTGGGCGAAGGACATGAACAGACACTTCTCAAAAGAAGACATTTATGCAGCCAAAAAACACATGAAAAAATGCTCATCATCACTGGCCATCAAAGAAATGCAAATCAAAACCACTATGAGATACCATCTCACACCAGTTAGAATGGCAATCATTAAAAAGTCAGGAAACAACGGGTGCTGGAGAGGATGTGGAGAAACAGGAACACTTTTACACTGTTGGTGGGACTGTAAACTAGTTCAACCATTGTGGAAGTCAGTGTGGCGATTCCTCAGGGATCTAGAACTAGAAATACCATTTGACCCAGCCATCCCATTACTGGGTATATACCCAAATGACTATAAATCATGCTGCTATAAAGACACATGCACACGTATGTTTATTGCGGCATTATTCACAATAGCAAAGACTTGGAACCAACCCAAATGTCCAACAATGATAGACTGGATTAAGAAAATGTGGCACATATACACCATGGAATACTATGCAGCCATAAAAAATGATGAGTTCACGTCCTTTATAGGGACATGGATGAAATTGGAAATCATCATTCTCAGTAAACTATCGCAAGAACAAAAAACCAAACACCGCATATTCTCACTCATAGGTGGGAATTGAACAATGAGATCACATGGACACAGGAAGGGGAATAACACACTCTGGGGACTGTTGTGGGGTGGGGGAAGGGGGGAGGGATAGCATTGGGAGATATACCTAATGCTAGATGACGAGTTAGTGGGTGCAGCGCACCAGCACGGCACATGTATACATATGTAACTAACCTGCACAATGTGCACATGTACCCTAAAACTTAAAGTATAATAAAAAAAAAAAGAACTATTTCAAAAGGAAAAAAAAAAACAAATGTGAAAATGCGATTGATAAAATTATTATTTATACACTATGTGTTACACACATATGTATGTTTATAAATATATGTATATGATTGTGTATGTAAGTATATTTCTCCTAAATCCCTCACTTCAGTCTTATTTCTTCTATAATCTAGTGTTGAGAGGTGAACATTCATAATATATCCATGGTTGTAACCAAAATCTCTGATTGTAATTAATCCACATATTATTTCTTTGTTTTATAGTAGATTAACAGAAAAAAATTCAAATAAATTAGATTATTCCCTAAATAGATCAGAATTATTTATGTAGAAGGTCTTATGAAAAATATTTAGGAAATTCAGGTTTGGAATTTCTGCATTCTATGAATTTCTACATATGAAATCAGAAACTTAATTTTTCTGAAATACAGACACTAATTCCATATAGGCAAGGTTTGTATGTTTGTAAAAAATAAGAGAAATCACATCACGTTTGAAAATTGCCTTGGCCACCTGAAAAAGAGCAGGCTTGGCCGGGCACGATGGCTCAGACCTGTAATCCCAGCACTTTGGGAGGCCGAGGCGGGTGGATCACTTGAGGTCAGGAGCTGAAGACCAGCCCGGCCAACATGGTGAAACCCCGACTCTACTAAAAATACAAAAATTAGCCGGGCATGGTGGCATGCACCTGTAATCCCAGCTACTCGGGAGGCTGAGGCAGGAGAATTGCTTGAACCCGGGAGGGGGAGGGTGCAGTAAGCTGAGATCACACCACTGTACTCCAGCCTGTGCGACAGAGGGAGACTCCGTCTCAAAAAAAAAAAAAAAAAAAGAAAAGCAGCCTTTGCCCAGATTTAGTATGCTCTTAGATTGATTAGTTCCCATACTTTGTTTTATCTGAACAATATATGAGTAGATGGAGAGGATATTGGTGGTAAGGTCCATTGACAATCTGGATCCTGAAAGGTAATAATACATTGAAATGTAGATTTTTGAATAGCTGAGGCTTTTGAGCTGTGTATTATTTTTGTATTGCTGAAGTATTGAATTACCACAAACTTGGCAGCTTACAACGACAAAAGTTCATCGTCTTACAGATCTATAAGTTAGGAGTCCAACATGGGTCTCACTGAACTAAAATCCCAATGTTGAAAGGGCTACAGTGTTCCTCTTTAGAAGCTAGAAGAAATAATTTATTTCCTTGACTTTTTCAGCTTCTAGAGGCTATCGACATTCCTTAACTCTTGGTCCCCATCCTGCATCAAAGCCAACAAAGTTTTATCTCTCTCATCATTCTTCCATAGTCACATCTCTCTTTCTGACCACAGCCAGGAATGATTCTCTGCTTTTAAGAACCCATGCGACTACATGCCAAACAGAATAACCAGGATAATTTCTTCATCTCAAGGTACTTAATCACATCTACAAAATCTCATTCAACATGGCAAGTAGCATATTCACATATTTTGGGGACAACAATGCAAACATCTTTGGGGGCCATCATTCAGCTTACTACAATGTGTGATGTCAGTAATAGAGCTACAGATTCATAGTAGGGTCTTTCTCAATAATGATTTTGTTCATACTGCATCTTCTAAAAGAGGAGAGTCATAAAACTTGATTATTTAATCATGATTAGGAAAGTTTGGTATATAACACAGTAGCCATATTTTATACAGTTGTGGCTACTGTGAAATAGGAAGCTCAGCAGCAGTCATTGGGAGCGTGCATGTCTTGGCCGTGAGTAATCTGAGTAAATTCTACAAATATGTTTCAGTAATTGAAAACAGAAGACGTTCATATGAAATTTGCCAAAAGTCCTATTCCCAGCGATTAAGTAATTATCTGTTATAAATCAAAATTACTCCAATAGTCATAAAAATTATATGGCTAAACTCTAAAGTTTTGATTTGAATAATGCTAACCAATTGTAGCAAAAAGAGGTTTGGAGAGAAAATCAACAACTGGAATATAATTTCACTATTACCACTTTCTGAAATTGTGACTAGGAACAAGTAATTTAGCAACACTATTTCGGAGTTTACTCACAGAATGAGTTTCCTAGGCCAGATATGACTATCTCATTCAAACAATTAGAAAAAAGTGATATAAAAAGTGACTAAGGCCATGTATATATTCCATATTTTTTCTCATCTTCAATTTCTTCCACAATGAGTTTTATTAAGTGTTTTGCTTTTGTTTGGGTTGATTGTCAATAATTTTCCCCCACAACATATAATATCTAGTAACATCTATGTGTGAAGACATATGTCTTAAATCTATATTAGTACTTAGAATTCCACAAATTCTAACTGTGCAAATAAAATAGTGAAATGTCCATTTAGGTTTCTGTCACTCCCATAAATATATAGATTTATTTCTCATAATATAATTACATATTGGTTGGGAGAGCAATTAGTTAACCACATAGTATTAGACATGCTACTGCATTAACTGACCAGTTTTTCTGCATTTGAAATTACAGAGCAATTAGAATAATCACAGTATAAATACTACAATTTATTCTTCAGATTTTTTATGAAAGACTGTTATATAAGATTTGGAAGCCGGGCATAGTGGCTCATGCCTGTAATCCCAGCACTTTGGGAGGCCTGTAATCCTAGCACTTTGGGAGCACTTTGGGAGGCGGGGGATCACCTGAGGTCAGGAGCTTGAGACCAGCCTGGCTAACATGGCGAAACCCCATCTCTACTAAAAATACACAAATTACCTGGGCTTGGTGGTGGGCGCCTGTAATCCCAGCCACTCGGGAGGCAGAGGCAGGAGAATCTCTTGAACCCGGGAAGCAGAGGCCACAGTGAGCCGAGATCATGCCACTGCACTCCAGGCTGGGTGGCAGAGCGAGATTCTGTTGCAAAAATTAAATAAATAAATAATTTTAAAAATTTTGGAGAAATCAAACTCCTCATGGTATAGTCGAGACATCACAGCATGGGGATGGAGAGACATGATGACTTTGTGCGTGAATTCAAATGTCAGAGAAATTAAAAGTCTATTGCAATATCAAAAAGCAAAAAGTAAGCTAAATTAGTTTGACTTTATTATCATATATTTAAAAGTATTTTAGTACACAGGTTTGCTCATCCCTTCTTTTATCTCTTCTTAATGTCACTTAGGAGCCATATTTGTTAATAATAATGGTTTAATATATTAGCCTACTGTACCATATTCATGTAAAACAACAGTCAAGATTTGTAGTTTCTTGAATAATTTGTTGATTAAATGAAAACCTACCACTTCCATATATTTAGCAAATATTTTTAGATTTTTAAAAATCTTCCTAAGAATAATTCAAAATCTCTTTGTCTCTTCCAATCAAGGCAAAGTGATGTAGTTCCTGCTCTTCTGACTTTTTTAAACTAACTTTTCTGCTGGAAAATTCTGTCAATAGAGTTCTTAAAAGGATTTGTATTAAGCCTTCCACAGATACTCTGATATTAAAATCAGGTCTAAGTAAACAGGTGCATTCTGCGTAGTTAAAATTAAATACTGCTATAAATATGCCCAGTGGGGTAATCCAATTTACTAGTCACTTCAGAGCTGATATGAAAGTCAAAAGGTACTTGGCAACATCGTTTGGAATCAGGATTACTTGTAGGTTATTTATCCTTGAGAAGTATTGTAATGTCTGTGTATAAAGTGCATTATTCCTTAGAAACTGCCTCGGTCAAATAACACAGGCTTAAGATTCTCATTTTCTGTCCCTTTATGCTGTGTACATGCAGAGTCAATCCATTGTTATTACACAGCCAATTATAGGACCAAAACATAATTTGCATTTCTTTTCTCCTTTTTAGTCATAATCTTGATGATTATAGCCAAGTTCTATTTTGTAATTTTAAAGAAATCCCCTAAATGTACTTCCACAAGCTATTTTAATTATTCTCATGATATCTGTGGTAGGTAGGTGAAAATGGTCACTAACAGCCATAAATGATAATTAAGAAGTATGTGACCATAGCGATGTGTTAGGAGACACATATTTACGGGATTTTTATTTAAATTGATTAGCATTGCTTCATGCATAGACCAGTGGTTCTCAACTGTCCATCAGAGTAAGCTGGCAAGATTGTTAATAGTTTAGATACTCAGGTTCATGCCCAGAGATGGTTCTCATTTTCTATCTGTCTCTATCTCTACCTGATGCCCAGAGATTGTTCATGCCCAGAGATAGTTCACTATCTGTATATCTATCTGTATCTCTCTATCTGTATCTCTATCTGTATCTGTCTATCTGTATCCCTAGCTCTCTCTCTCTTTATCATGTCCTACTTCCAGATGATACAAATTTGCAGCCAAGGCTGAGAAACGCTGATCTAGGTGAGAATGTACCAAGCAGAAAGATTAAGTGAATTATTAATGCCCACAAAGTCATTTCAAATGTGTATTTATTTATTCAATTGATTTGACTGAAAACTAGTTCTCAGCATTTTAACAGATTTTCCTCTAAAGATGTAAGCCATTGGCTGACTGACTTGACTGAAAACTAGTTCTCAGCATTTTAACAGATTTTCCTCTAAAGATGTAAGCCATTGGCTGACTGACTTGACTGAAAACTAGTTCTCAGCATTTTAACAGATTTTCCACTAAAGACGTAGACAGAGTTTGCATTTTGAGACAAGGACACAGGGTAACATTTAATCAATCTAATTAACAGCAGGAAATAAATGGGTATTACCCACTAGATTGTGATCGTCATTAAAAAAGGAGTAATGCCTATTTTGAAAGCTTTACAAACATATTTGAGTGATTGAATAAATAAATACACATTTGATTTTGTACATCCCAGATTCAGTACATTGTGATAAATTATAAAAAGAAAAAAACTCGTTATACTTTCCATTTCCAAAATATATTCAAAAGTAAAAATATTAACAAATTTCAATTTCCGATGATTACTACTACTTCACAATAAATGCAGGAAAAATTCCATAATAATTCACAAAAACTCTGTACTTAACAGGAAACAACTCTCATTGGTATTAGATAGATAGACCTTGCATTATTTATACCAAATGACATTTTCTTTTTTTTTATTTTGAAGGTTTAATAAAGTATAATTCAAAAATTGTGTGATTAATGTATACTATCTGATTATTTGGTATGTGTATATTATGTGAAATGATAACAACGATCAAGTCAGTTAACACATCTATAATCTCACCTAGTTAGTTTGCTTTGTTTTGCTTTTGTTTTTGTTTTAAATTTCAACTTTTAGTTTAGATATGAGGTTACATATGGAAGTTTGTTACACGAGTCTGTTGTGTGATGCTGAGGTTTGGGGTATGCATCACATCACCCAAGTAGTACGCATAGTACATGATAGGTAGTTTTTCAGTTCACATCACCCGTTTTTTCTACCCCATCTAGTAGTCCACAGTGTCTGTTTTTCCCATGTTTATGTCCATGTGTGCTCAGTATTTATTTCCCACTTATAAGTGAGGACATGCCATATTTGGTTTTGTGTTCCTGCACTAATTTGCTTATTATTATGACCACCAACTGCAACCATGTTTCTGCAAAGGACCTGATTTCGTTCTTTTTTCTATGGCTCTGTAGTACTCCATAATGTATTTATACCACATTTTCTTTACCCGATCCACCACCACTAATGAGCACCTCAGTTGATTCCATGTCTTTGCTGTAGTGAACAGCATGATGATGAACATTTAGGTACATGTGTCCATGTGGTAGAATGATCTATGTTTCCTTTGGGCATATATGCAATGATAGGGTTGCTGGGACAAATTGTAGCTCTATGATAAGTTCTTTGAGAAATCTCCAAACTACTTTCCACAGTGGCTGAACTAATTCATATACCCAGCAACAGTGTATACGCATTCCCTATTCTCCACAGCTTTGCTGGCATCTGTTATTATTATTTTTTTTTTTTTTACTTTTTAGTAATAGCCATTGTGAGTGGCATGAGATAGTATCTCATTGTGGTATAGATTTGCATTTCTTTGATGATTAGTGATGTTGAACTTTTCAGCCACTTGTATGTCTTCTATTCAGAAGTGTCTGTTAACGTCTGTTGCCTATTTATTAATGAGATTTTTTTTGTTTCTTGATTTGTTTAAGTTCATTATAGATTCTGGATATCAGACTTTTGTCAGATACAAGGTGATTGGTATATATTTGCGAATATTTTCTCCCACTCTATAGGTTGTCTACTTTGTAAATAGTTTATTTTTCTGTGCAGAAGCAATTTAGTTTACATCACACCTGTCAATTTCTGTTTTTGTTGAAATTGCTTTTGGGGACTTAGCCAAAAATTGTTGGCCATGGCCAACATCAAGAAGGGTATTTTCTAGGTTTTCTTCTAGGATTTTAGTTTGAGGACTTATTTTAAAAGCTTTAATCGATCTTGAGTTAGCTTTGTATACGGTGAAAGTTAGGGGTCCAGATTCATTCTTCTGTATGTGACTAGCCAACTATCCCAGCACTACTTATTAAATAGGTAGTCCTATCCCAATTGCTTATTATTGTCCACCTTGTTGAAGATCAGGTGATTGTGAGTGTGAGTCTTTATTTCCTGGTTTTTTGTTCTGTACCATTGATCTACATGTGTGTTTTTGTACAAGTATCATGCTATTTTTGTGACTGTGGCCTTACAGTATAGTTTGAACTTTGGTAGTACAATGTCTCTGGATTTGTTCTATTTACTTAGAATTGCACTGGTTATTTAGGATCTTTTTAGGTTCCATATGACATTGGTAGTTTGCTAGGAATAGTGTCGAATCTTTAAATTGCTTTGGGCATTATGGCTATTTTTATGATATTGATTCTTCCTATCCATGAGCATGTAATGCTTTTCCATTTATTAGTGTCATCTTCTTTTTCTATATGGATGCCTTTCATTTTTTTCTTTCACTTTATTACTCTGACTAGAACTTCTAGTATATGTTGAATAGGAGTGGTGAGAGTGGGCACCTTTGTCTTGCAGTTCTTAAGGGGAATGGCTCCAGCTTTGGCCTATTTGGTATGATGTTGGCTGTGAGTTTACCATAGATGGCTTTTATTATTTTGACCTATGTTTTGTGATGCCAACTCTGTTGAGAGTTTTTTATCATGGAGGGCTGTTGGATTTTATCAAAGTCTTTTTTTTATATCTGTTGAAATAATCATATGGTTTTACTGTCTAATTCTGTTTATGTGGTGAATCATATTTATAGATTTGTATGGGTTGAAACAACTTTGCATCACAGGAATAAAACCTTCTTGATCATGGTGAATTAATTTTTTGATGTGCTGCTGGATACAGTATGCTAGTATTTTGTTGAGTATTTTTATGGCTATGTTCATCAGGGATACTGGCGGGAAGTTTTGTTTTTGACTTTTTTTTTCACTGTGTCTCTGCCAGATTGTGGTATCAGGTTGATGCTTGTTTCATAAAATTAGTTAGGAAGGAGTCTCCCTCAATTTTTTGGAATAGTTTCAGTAGGATTGATGTCAGTTCTTTTTTATACATATGAGAGAATTTGACTGTAAATCCATCTGGTCCAGGGCTTTTTTTGGTTGGTAGGTTTTTTGTTACTGATACAATTTCAGAACTTGATATTGGTCTATTCAGGATTTTATTTTTTTCCTAGTTCAATTCTGAGGTATTATCTGTTTCCAGAAATATATATATATTGTCTCCAGATTTTGTAATTTTTGTGCAGAGTTGTTCATAGTAGTCTGAGATGTTTTGTATTTCTGAAAAATCATTTGTAATATTTTCTTTCTAATTTCTGATGGGATTTTCTTCTTGTGCTGTTGTTGTTAATTCAGATAGTGCTCTATCAATCTTATTTGTTTGAATAACCAACTCTTGGTTTCATGTATCTTTTGTATGGATTTTTGAACCTCAATTACATATAGTTCTTCTCTAGTTTATTTTTATTTTATTTTATTTTATTTTTTGAGATGGAGTTTCACCCTGTCGCCCAGGCTGGAGTGCAGTGGCACAATCTTGGCTCACTGCAACTTCTGCCTCCCGGGTTCAAGCAATTTTCCTGCCTCAGCCTCCTGTGTAGCTGGGATTACAGGCACGCATCACCACGCCTGGCTAATTTTTTGTGTTTTTAGTAGAGACAGGGTTACACCATGTTGGCCAGGCTGGTTTCAAACTCCTGACCTCGTGATCCACCTGCCTCAGCCTCCCAAAGTGCTGGGGTTACAGGCATGAGCCTAGTTATTTTTACTGATAATTTGAGATCTTTCTAACTTCTTGATGAAGGTGTTTAGGGCTATAAGCTTTTCTCTTACCACTGCTTTAGCTACATCCCAGAGATTTTGATAAGTTTTGTCCTTATTTTCATTAATTCCAATGAATTTTTTATTTCTGCCTTAATTTTGATGTTCCCTGAAGAGTTAGTTATTCAGGAGTAAATTGTTTAATTTTAATGTATTTGTGTAATTTTGAGAGATTTTATTGATATTCACTTCTTTTTTTTACTGCATTCTGTTCTGAAAGTGTGCTTGGTATGATATCTAATTCTTTGAATTTATTGAGACTTGCTTTATGACTGACCATGTGGTCAATATTAGAACATGTTCTGTGTGAAGGTCAGAAGAATGTATATTCTGTGGTTGCTGGGTGGAGTGTTCTTTGGATGCCTATTAGATACATTTGGTCTAGTGTCAAGTTTAAGTCAAGTGTCAAAGTTAAGTTTCTTTGTTAGAGTTCTGCTTTGATAATCTGTCTAATGCTGTCACTGGGGTGTTGATGTCTTCCACTATGAATGTGTGGCTAAATAAGTCTTTTGGTAGATAAAGAGGAACTTGTTTTATCAATCTGGGTGCTCCAATGTTGGTTGCATATATATTTAAGACAGTTAGTTATGTCTTCTTGTTGGATTATATCCTTTATCATTACATAACGCCTTTCTTAATTATTATTGGTTTTAAGTCTGTTTTATCTGATACAAGAATAGTGATTCTTGCTCTTTTTTGTTGTTGTCCTTTTGCTTGGTAGATCATTCTCTATCATTTTGCTTTGAGCTTGTGGATTTCATTATAGGTCTCTTGAAGACAAAAGGCAGTTAATTCTTGTCTTTTTATCCTGCCTGCCACTCTGTGTCTTTTAAGTGGGGTGTTTAATCCATTTAAACTCAAGGTTAGTATTGATATGTGAGATTTTGATCCTTTCATCATGTTAGCTAAGTGTGATGTAGACTTGAACATGTAGTTGCTTTACAGTGTCTGCGGGCTATGTGCTTAAGTGTGTTTTTGCAGTAGCAGGTGTCATTTTTCAATTTCACGTTCAGCATTTCCTTAACGCCCTCTTGTAAGGCTGGTCTAATGGAAACAAATTTCCTCAGTATTTGCTTTTCTGAGAAGAATTTTATTTCTCCATTGATGAAGTTTAGTTTGGTGGGATATGAAAGTCTTCATTGGCATTTCCTTTTTTTAAGTTGCTGAAACTAAGCCCAATCTCTTCTGGTTTGTAAAACTTCTACTGAGAGGTCCATTGCCAGCCTGATGGGGTTCTGTCTGTATATAATATATATGACCTGACTCTTCTTTCTGGCAGCCTTTAAGATTTTTCCTTCTGTGTTGACCTTGGTGAATCTAATTTTGAGCCTTGGGGATGGTTGACTTTTACAGCATCTGGCCAGAATGCTCTCTATTTCTTGAATTTGCAAGTCAATTTCACTAGCAAGATTAAGAAAATTTTCATGGCCTGTGTCCTCAAGTGTATTTTACAAGTCTTTCATTCTTTCTCCTTTTCTCCCAGGAATTGCAATGAGTCATATATTTGATCTCCTTATAGAATCCCATATTTCTCTAAGGTTTTGTTCATTTTAAACTTACTTTGTATTTATTTTTTGTCTAATTAAGCCTGGTTTAAAGGACCAGTTACTGAGCTCTGAGATTCTTTCCTCACCTTGGTCCATTTTGCTGTTAATACTTCCGATTATATATCTTGTAGTGAGTTTTTGAGCTCTAGAATTTCAGTGTGGTTCTTTCTTTTAAAAGTTACTAATCTTTCAGTCCTTCCATCATTTTACTATATTCCTTGCATTCCTTGGATTGGGTTTTAATTTTATCCTAAGTCTTGATGTGCTTTCTTGCTATACAAATTCTGAATTCTACGTCCGTCATCTCAGTCATTTCAGACTGGTTAAGAACCATTACCGGGGAGCTAGTGGACTCCTTTGGAAGTAAGTACACACTCTGGCTTTTTAAATTGCCAGAGTACTTGTGCTGATTCTTTCTCCTCTGAGAGGGCTGGTGTTCTTTTAAAGGTGACTAAGTTGAGTACGGTCAGTTGGCTTTTCTTTTTGGGTGTTTTCAGAGGGCCAGACCTCCGTACAAGGTCTTTATTTGTGACTGAGTTCTTGCTCTTGGTTTCACGGGGAAGTATATTAGCAAAAGATATTTGATGTTTTAGTTTGGGCTGTGATCCACTAAATGACACATAAGAGACATAAGAGTAATGACAGTAGATAGGCTCTTTACTCAGTCACACAGCTCCTTTGTCTTTTCTTGCATTTGCAGCCATGCTCCACAGTGTGAGAGGGAGAGAAGTGACCCCCTCAGCAGGTCAACTTCTGGTCCTTGGGGGAGCTCCTCTCATCATTGGCACTGTGCCTCTGTGTCTTTTCTTTCCTTTTTTTTTTTTGAGATGAAGTCTCACTCTGTCACCCAGGCTAGAGTGCAGTGGCACAATCTCGGCTCACTGCAACCTCTGCCTCCCGGGTTCAAGCGATTCTCCTGCCTCAGCCTCCCAAGTAGCTGGAACTACAGGCGCGCACCACTACGCTCAGCTAATTTTTTGTGGTTTTAGTAGAGACAGGGTTTCACATGTTGGCTAGGCTGGTATCGAACTCCTGACCTCAGGTGATCTGCCCACCTCGGCCTCCCAAAGTGCTGGGATTACAGGCATGAGCCAGTGCGCCCAGCTGCCTCTGTTTCTTTTATTAGATGTTCTGGACTGTGGGGCTCCTTTGGGCAGATGCTGTATTATGGGGATAAGCCACACACTTTTTGAACTGGCCCGGTCAAGGGGGACATAACTATTTCCTGTGCCACCCCATCAATCCCCACCTATTCTGAGTGTAGGCTCCTCCCCTGCTTGAGTAATGGCCACAGATCTTGGCTCGGCACTCCCAAGCTGCATGCTGAATTCCTGGGACAACAGGACTGGCTTGTGGTTCCATTCTCCAGATCCTTGGGTTGGCTTCTGGGTACACTAGGAGATCTGAAATGCTCTCAGGCCACCAGGAAAGTACTCAGATGCAAGAAAGCACCCAGACACTCTGAGCTTTTGGTGTTATAACTGCAATTTATACCATTTGACTGACACCACCCTCTTTTTTATATGTCCATGCCCCTAGTAACCACCATTCTGCTGTCTACTTCTATAAGTTTAACTTTTTAAGATTCCACATATAAATGAGATTCTGCAATATTAGTCTTTTTTTGTCTGACTCATCATCAGGGTAATGCAAATCAAAACCACAATGAGATAACACTTCATACCCGAGATGATGGCTACTATCAAAAAAGATAAGAGATAACACAAGTGTTGGCAAAGATGTGGAGAAACAGCAAAGATTGCCAGAAAACCACTAGAAACAATGGGAAAAGCATGAAACAGATTCTTCCTCACAGCCCTTAGAAGGAGCCAACCCCAGGCCCGGGGCGGTGGCTCACTCCTGTAATCCTGGCACTTTGGGAGGCTGAGGCAGACAGATCACGAGGTCAGGAGATCGAGACTATCCAGGCTAACACGGTGAAACCCCGTCTTTATTAAAAACACAAAAAATTAGCCGGGCCTGGTGGCAGGCGCCTGAAGTCCCAGCTACTCGGGAGGCTGAGGCAGGAGAATCGCTTAAACCTGGGAGGCAAAGGTTGCAGTGAGCCAAGATCGCGCCACTGCACTCCAGCCTGGGTGACAGAGTGAGACTCAATTAAAAAAAAAAAAAAAAAAGCAGAAGAAGGAGCCAACCCTGCCAACACATTCATCTTAGACTTCTATCCTCTAGAACTAAAAGACAATAAATTTCTGTTATTAAATCCACTCACTTTGTGATACTTTGTCATGCCAGTCCTAGCAAGTCAGCACACAAGTGACATAATTCCTTTATGAGTCTATGTCCATTAACCAAAAATGGACATTTATGGAGGTCAGGAATTTATAATTGACAAGCATTGTAATTATGACCCAAGCAACATATTGATTTATTTGTTTTGTTTTCTTTAGAATGCAGTTTTCCTAAAACATTATTAGAGTACTACAAATTTTCAGTTTGTGAAATCATTTGAGTCTGTGAAGTTGAAAGCATGTGTGTGTATGCATGTGTGTATCATCTTTCCAATCTAAAGCACGTTCGCTAATACCCTGCAGATGAGAAATCTATCATGAAAGAAGAATTTTTTTAATTTTACCACCTCTTCAAAATGTAGACTTTCTAATCCCCATAGGGATGTCCTGAGAACACCAAATAAAGCTATCCATCCTAACAAGTGTTCACAATTTTGACCAACAAACAACAACCTACATATATTATCTCTAGTTGTCTGACTTATTTCTCATACGAATATTTATCAATAATTTATCATATTGAACAAGTTTTATTCTTAATGTATTGGACAGTGTTAATAACTTTGGAATTAATAATATTTCTATATTCTCAAACAAAATTTATGTCATCCTAATGCTGTTTAATCTCCTTTCCTCTCTAAGAACTCAGAGTCCTCATGATTCACTCTGAGGACAATGGGACAGTATTCTTTAGAAAAACCCAGATGATTTCCCAGCTGGCTCAGACTGGAAGCACACACATCTCCCAAACAATATTCATGAATTACTGATACAGTCTGCCAATCCTAGAATAAAGATTCTAATTCTTCCTTCTGCAGTGACATTTTTATTTCTCCTTTCATTTCATATAGCTCTGGTTCTCCCAAAAGAAAGCTCCTCAAATCTTCAACTCTCCGCTGAGTCATAGGTATTGCTCACAACTTCAATGGCTATATCCTCCAATGTGACAGTGTGCCCTGAATTCTTTGTTGAGGATGTGCTGGTGCAGAGAGTAAAATCAGTGGGTGTCTGTACTTCTATATTAAGCTATAACCAATAATGAATATTGACATTTTGTTCTACTAGATTTATGTTCCAGCTTTGGTCTGTGGTGTCCAATTTAGCAAGTGTAAGCACCTACGTGATTTGCTCATTTTCTGACCAGAAATAAGACGGTACTTCAGATAAACATATTCTTTTCATTTATTAATGTTAACCCATTTCAACAGACTCTAATACATCACTGGATAATCAGATCTTGCTAATTTCTTTTAATTTTGGGTGCCTAGGATCTCCTAGATGATGCAGAGAGAAATAGTGATTCTAGGTCAGTTTATTGTACTCTTTAACTTAATGAGATTAGTTCTATCATTTTATTTCTGAAGCAATGTTAAGTTTTAGTTGATGCAGTTTGTCAAGTAAAAAAATATATATATTGTTTCTAGTAATCCAAACATTTTATACCAAGATCTGTATAGAACTTTATCAAAGGATATTTTCTATGATAGTTGAATTGATTGTATTTTTCCTTTTAATTGGTTAAAGTGGTTAAGTTCATTATTTCCTACTCTATCTATGAAGATCTCAAGAGTAATTTAGGGATTCTACTAATTTTGAGAGGAGAGGATAGGGTGATGAAATTTTGCTATGTTTTTTATGAAGTATACTTTAATGTGCTTAAAGAAATTGGGTAAAATACTTAAATTTACTTTTAATTATTTTTTAATATTCTATAATATTTTACTTTTAACTTACCACACTTCTCCAAAATGTATCATGATTACATAGAAAAATAAGTCCGTGTGTGTATGTGTAAGTATATATAAGCACACATATATGTATGCATATGTGTATATATACACACATATTTACATTCAAATATATGTATACGTATGCTTATATATTATGAATACCTTCATATATAGAAATGTGTACAATATGTATATACAAACATACTTAGATACATACAATATGTCTAAGCTTCATCATTTGGGAATCCTCCTTCAGGCTAACCCTTCTTAAAAATATTGCGTGACACTTAGAAGCCTTGGTTTAGAATTTGAATAATCCCTAACATTGGTTTTGTTGATTACTAGTTTTGCAATCTTAGGCAAATTATTTAATTTTCTGAACCTTTTGTCTGTAAATTAGGAAGACACAGGTATGATGCGTGTGTTGTGATGCTTAAAACAATGATGCTTGTGTTGTAACTAGCATAAGACTTTATACACAGGAAGTGCTCAAAAAAAGTATTTTTTTCAAAAATTATGTAATGTGACTATTCAATACAAAAGGCACTCTATAAAATAAAATGAAATTGATTAGTGTACCTCAAAGATTCAGCTGTGTAGGTAATTTTTTCTCAGTTTTTCTTTTGGTGATTTTATTTATTTTAAATTCACACCAAAAAAATTCATGATGGGAAAAGTAAAATTGTCCCTGCCAACATCATAGAATTCAAATGAGAGATTAATTATGTCATATATAAAGCATCACTTTGAACTTCAGAAAGTCAATTAAATTTAAATTAAAAAAAAACAAATACTCAAACCTTTCTAGGTTTCAAGTTTCTATCTAAGCTATAAGAAAAAGTTACAATATAGTCACTCGTATGTTAAAGTACATGAGTCAATGATAGTGATATTTTTCTGTAATTTATGGAGTAATTATTTTATATGTTATATATATTATTATCTGTACATAAGGTAATAGGTACCAGGTGGAAAAAAAAATAATGTTCACGTTAGTATTACTATGCTTGTTAAGATAATTTTAATTCAAAATCTATTAAGCACCACATATTATTTTACCAGGGCTGCCACAACAAAATACAAGAGACTGGATGGCTTAAACAACAGCAATGTATTTTCCCACAGTTCTGGAGTTGGGAAATCTGACATCAAGGTGTCAGCGGGTTTGGTTTTTGCTGAGGCCTCTCCTTGGCTTGCAGATGGCTGCCTTCTTGCTGTGTGTTCACATGATTGTCTCTTAGTGTGTGCATTTGTCTGGTGTCTCTGTCTGTCTTAATCTCTTTTTAAAAGGACACCAGATATATTGGATTAGAACTCATCTTATTGACCTAATTTTTGCTTAATTCCTTCTTTAAATATCTTGTCTCCAAATGGGTTGCATTCTGTGGTACTCAGATTTAGGGATTCAATATATGAATTGGGGGGAACACAAATCAGCCAATATCACATGAATTCTTTTTCTAGCAAAGAAAGCATCCATTCTATTAGGAGTCTTCCTTTACTTAATAGAAAACCAGCAGAACAGTACTATGTTTATACAAATGTAAATTAATTTACTTATTCCTGTATGAGAGCACTCATATGTGTGTGCATGTGAAAACAAAAGTCATAAAGTCACTGTATATCTGAACACATGAATTTTAGTATACTTTTAAGAGGATTGTCTTTCAGAGACTTAGAAAATCATTTGAAGTTTTCAAATGGAGTTAGACTAGACTGCTGGTTGCCCACATACAGTGTTTTGTATTTTGTGATGAATTATTTCAGACTTTGAAAAAATACTGTGATATTCTCTGGGAGACCTGGAGATTGAATGATCCACAGCAGATAGGAGAGAGGACTTCACACATAAATAAATGGATATGTGTGCTGTGTCTAACTTTTGAGTGGTAACAATCCTTGAATTTGAAGGAAGACGACATTTTCATGACTGTTGAAGCTTTTGGAATCAGGACGTAGAAATGAAGAATGTGGTGAACTAAGGCATTAAAGTTAAAATAAAACCAGAAAATTTTGATAGATTGTGATTAAGTAGACCTTGAACATATGAAAACTTTCAGGGATCCTGATATTTGTCTTGGACCTTTGGGCCCTGAAAGTAATCACCTTTGTTACTAGGGGAAGTCACTTTTTTTTTTTTTAATTATACTTTAAGTTCTAGGGTACATGTGCACAACGTGGAAGTTTGATAAATAGGTATAACCTGTGCCGTGTTGGTTTGCTGCACCCATCAACTCGTCATTTACATTGGGTATTTCTCCTAATGCTATCCCTCCCCCAGGCCCCCACCCCCAACAGGACCTGGTTTATGATGTTACCCACCCTGTGTCCAAGTGATCTCCTTGTTCAATTCCCACCTATGAGAGAACATGCAGTGTTTGGTTTTCTGTCCTTGTGATACTTTGCTGAGAATCATGGCTTCCAGCTTCATCCATGTCCCTGCAAAGGACATGAACTCATCCTTTTTTATGGCTGCATAGTATTCCATGCTATGTGCCACATTTTCTTAATCCAGTCTATCATTGATGGACATCTGGGTTGGTTCCAAGTCTTTGCTATTATGAATAGTGTTGCAGTAAACGTATGTGTGCACGTGTCTTTATAGTAGCATGATTTATAATCTTTTGAGTATATACCCAGTAATGTGATTGCTGAGTCAAATGGTATTTCTAGTTCTAGATTCTTGAGGCATTGCCACACTCTCTTCCACATGGTTGAACTAATTTACACTCCCACCAACAGTGTAAAATTGTTCCTATTTCTCCACATCCTTTCCAGCATCTGTTGTTTCCTGACTTATTAATGATTTCCATTCTAACTGGTGTGAGATGGTATCTCATTGTGGTTTTGATTTGCATTTCTCTGATGACTAGTGACGATGAGCATTTTTTCATGTGTCTGTTGGCTGCATAAATGTCTTCTTTTGAGAAGTGTCTGTTCGTTTCCTTTGCCCACTTTTGGATGGGGTTGTTTGTTTTTTTTCTTGTAAATTGGTTTGTGTTCATTGTAGATTCTGTATATTAGCCTTTTTTCAGATGGGTAGATTGCAAAAATGTTCTCCCATTCTGTAGGTTACCTGTTCTACAGAACAGGTAGTTTCTTTTGCCATGCAGAAGCTCTTTAGTTTAATTAGATCCCATTTGTCAATTTTGGCTTTTGTTGCCATTGCTTTTGGTGTTTTAGTCATGAAGTCCTTGCCCATGCCTATGTCCTGAATGGTATTGCCTAGGTTTTCTTCTAGGGTTTTTATGGTTTTAGGTCTAAGATTTAAGTCTTTAATCCATCTTGAATTAATTTTTGTATAAGGTGTAAGGAAGGGATCCAGTTTCAGCTTTCTACACATGGGTTGCTAGTTTTCCCAGCACCATTTATTAAATAGGGAATCCTTTCCCTATTTCTTGTTTTTGTCAGGTTTGTCAAAGATCAGATGGTTGTAGATGTGTAGTATGATTTCTGAGGGCTCTGTTCTGTTCCATTGATCTATATCTCTGTTTTGGAACCAGTACCATGCTGTTTTGTTTACCGCAGCCTTGTAGTATAGTTTAAAGTTGGGTAGCATGATGCCTCCAGCTTTGTTTTTTGTTTGTTTGTTTTGTTTTGTTTTTGCTTAGGATTGTCTTGGCAATGCAGGCTCCTTTTTGGTTTCATATGAACTTTAAAGTAGTTTTTTCCAATCCTGTGAAGAAAGTCATTGGTATTTTGAGCCTACCAACCAAAAAAAGTCCAGGACCAGACAGATTCACAACTGAATTCTACCAGAGGTACAAAGAGGAGCTGTTACCATTCCTTCTGAAACTATTCCAATCAATAGAAAAAGAGGGACTCCTCCCTAGCTCATTTTATGAGGCCAACCTCATCCTGATACCAAAGCCTGGCAGAGATGCAACAAAAAAAAAGAGAATTTTAGACCAATATCCCTGATGAACATCAGTGCAAAAATCCTCAATAAAATACTGGCAAACTGAATCCAGCAGCACATCAAAAAGCTTATCCACCACAATAAGATCGACTTCATCCCTGGGATGCAAGGCTGGTTCAACATACACAAATCAATAAACATAATCCATCACATAAACAGAACCAATGACAAAAACCACGATTATCTCAATAGATGCGGAAAAGGCCTTCAATAAAATTCAATAGCCCTTCATGCTAAAAACTTTCAATAAACTAGGTTATTGATAGAATGTAACTCAAAATAGTAAGAGCTATTTGTGACAAACCCACAGCCAATATCACACTGAATGGGCAAAAACTGGAAGCATTCCCTTTGAAAACCGGCACAAGACAAGGATGCCCTCTCTCACCACTCCTATTTAACATAGTGTTGGAAGTTCTGGCCAGGGCAATCAGGCAAGAGAAAGAAATAAAGGGTATTCAATTAGGAAAAGAGGAAGCAAATTGTCCCTGTTTGCAGATGACATGGTTGTATATTTAGAAAACCTCATCGTCTCAGCCCAAAATCTCCTTAAGTTGATAAGCAACTTCAGCAAAGTCTCAGGATACAAAATCAATATGCAAATATCACAAGCATTCCTATACACCAATAACAGACAGAGAGCCAAATCATGAGTGAACTCCCATTCACAATTGCTACGAAGAGAGTAAAATACCTAGGAATCCAACTTACAAGGGATGTGAAGGATCTCTTCAAGGAAGTCACTTTCTGTATTGTACTTCGCTTAATACTTAAGCCTCCAGGAAAGTTTTGTTAGATATTGCAGTCAGGTCTAGGCTAAGTATTTTAAATTTTTTATTTTTATTTTATTTGGTTATAAGCGGTGCTCTGATCAGTGACAGAAGTGACTTGGTTCCACCTTTAACAGAACGTTGGTGTAGAGCAAATCAGCACAATCTTCTCCTCTATGAACATGTGTGTTGACTCATGCATACTCAAGAAACCCTGTGAAGCAGCCTTGAAAAGAGATTTTTCTGGCCAAGGTAATAAGCAAATACTTGTATAGATGTTATGACTGTGCAAATGGTTTGCAAGAAGACCTCAGAAATGACTTGCAGAAGAGAATTTTGAAAAAAAAAATTTAACTGGCTGTAACACAATAGAAAGCCAGTCATTAATTGTAATAACTCTCTAGTGTTGATACTCTAAGGTATGAGCATACCTCAGAATTAGGACCAGTTCATATTATACTAAAAAATAAATATTGTCTTAAATGATATGGTGTTATTAGGTCACATTAAAATGAGGAACACTCATTTTGCTTCTATTATAATTATCATGGAGTCATTCACAGCTAAAATATCTGGAATTGGTTCATACAGATATTTACATTAGTCACCAAACACTCACTCATTTGGATAGTCAGCTGGGCTAAAGTAAAATATGTATTATAAAGATTACCTTAATTACTGAAAACACATCCTGGAGTATTTCTGCTTTCGTGAAACAAACAGCCAATAAAAAGTTTCTGGATTTTGAAAGGCCCAATTCACTATGGTATTGTAGTCCATAGAGAAAAGAAGCCTCTGGCATTTCCTTGTTTATCATAATTATGTTGCATTTCAATTATTATTCTAATTAATCATTAAACAGGCACTTCAGGCTTTGCTATGATGATAGAATTGATTTCCACGTTGCTTTGATGTCCCATGAACATGACCTCGTCAGTGTAACTCTAACCTTGAGATGCCTCTTCGTTTCCTTTTAGTAACTAGAGACTAAATCCCTCAGACACATTCTGGAATCTGATGCTCTATATGTCTAATGTGTTAGAAGCTCCATTAGGATGTAACAAGATTTTAGCCACATTCCCCGCAGCACTTTGGAGTACTGCTGCTTCATGAGATTTTTCTCTAAAGTAACCTTTCAAAGTCAGCCACAAAACCTCTTATTCTAGATCATACTGGCATCTGACCTTTGTAAACTTACAAGAAAAAATAGGAAAAAGGAAGATGCTAAGGGAGACACAGTTATCTTTTTCAAAATGCAGCTAAACCCACAAGCTACAGAGATATCATGACCTATAAAGTTCAGAGCTGTGTTTTTTTTTTTTTTGTATTTTTGTATTATACTTTAAGTTTTAGGGTACATGTGCACATTGTGCAGGTTAGTTACATATGTATACATGTGCCATGCTGGTGCGCTGCACCCACTAACTCGTCATCTAGCATTAGGTATATCTCCCAATGCTATCCCTCCCCCCTCCCCCCACCCCACCACAGTCCCCAGAGTGTGATATTCCCCTTCCTGTGTCCATGTGATCTCATTGTTCAGTTCCCACCTATGAGTGAGAATATGCGGTGTTTGGTTTTTTGTTCTTGCGATAGTTTACTGAGAATGATGATTTCCAATTTCATCCATGTCCTTACAAAGGACATGAACTCATCATTTTTTATGGCTGCATAGTATTCCATGGTGTATATGTGCCACATTTTCTTAATCCAGTCTATCACTGTTGGACATGTGGGTTGGTTCCAAGTCTTTGCTATTGTGAATAATGCCGCAATAAACATACGTGTGCATGTGTCTTTATAGCAGCATGATTTATAGTCATTTCTTTCTAACAATTACCCACAGCTATTATGATTTGCTCCCATCACTAAAACTGTCATTGCTAAGATAATTGCTCCAGTTTGAGAAGGTAGAAGATTTAACAAGTAACTAATATGTAAAGGATAGAGAGAAGAAGGGGAGAGGTTGATATGATCCCTGTCCTTTCACACTGTTAATATGCCAGGTGATAAAATGTCTCATTCACTCTGAAACATTATCACTATACAGGCACTCCTTACAGTGTTTGTTCTCATATATGTCCTCGTATTTTTTTTTTCTTTTAAAGTGGCTCTGAGAAATGGCTAATGCACAATCTAATTATGTGATAATAAATGTTAATGACAGTATTATCAGATGATAACTAGGCTTCATTAATGTGTCTCATTATGATTCTCAGTCCCTTGTGGAAGATTGTGAAGAAAGCACCTTAGATATTCCAGATTATATTTGAATGTAGTAGTTACAGAGCCCATATCCAGGGAGAAAGGAAGATATCAGAGACACCTTTAAGCTCTTTCTCTAATTTTGCTTCTTCAAACCTAAGCATCCATCAATCACATCTCAAAATTTATCATATACCTTCAGCATAATAAAAATAGTAATTATAATAATAGTAATAGTCCTGATATGACAAATAATATGTAAGATCATTTTAGTTGTAACTGCTGATATATTTTGGTATAAGTATGCAGGCATTTATGTCCCAAACATTATGACCTTGATTATCCATAAGCAAGTTCAAATCATTTAGAGAGGATACACTTATTTAAAGGTTTGCACCTGTTAAATTTTGGTTCTGCTACACTATATATATATATATATATATATATATTTTGTTGTTGTTGTTGTTGTTGTTGTTGTTGTTGAAATGGAGTCTCCCTCTGTTGCCCAGGCTGGAGTGCAGTGGCACAATCTCAGCTCACCGTAACCTCCGCCTCCTGGGTTCAAGTGATTGTCCTGCCTCAGCCTCTCAAGTAGCTTGGATTACAGGCATCTGTCAACACGCCCAACTAATTTTGTATTTTTAGTAGAGACAGGTTTCTCCATGTTGGTCAGGCTGGTCTTAAACTCCCGACCTCAGGTGATCCACCCACCTCAGCCTCCCAAAGTGCTGGGATTACAGGCATGAGCCACTGCACCCAGCCAGCTACACTATTCTTAATATTCAAAGTAGCACTGTCAAGTTATCACCAAGATTTCATCACAATTTTTATTATTTTTCTATATTTACCCTCTATTTTAACTATGTAAATTTATCAAATGTTTTAATATTTGAGAGGGCAAATCTACTATCACCGTTATTTAATGTTTTGTATTTTTTCTTAATTATTATATTTTTTAAATTGACGTGATAATTGTACATATTTATGGGGTATGTAGTGATATTTCGATACATACAATGAATAGTTAACAGATTCGTGTAATTCACATATCCATCATGTCAAAATTTATTATTTCTTTGTGATGGGAACATTCAGTTTACCCCTTCTAGCAATTTGAAACTATATATTATTGTCAACTACGGTCATCCCACAATGCTATAGAACACTAGAACTTATTTGTCTCTAGCTTTAATTTTGTATCCCTTGACAAATCTTTCTTTATCCTTCTCTCATCCCACCCTTCCCTGTCTCTAGTATATTCCATTCTACTTTTTCCTCCTCTGAGATCAACTTTTTTTTAGTTTCCACATATGAGTGAGAACATGCAGTGTTTAACTTTCTGTTCTTACCTTATTTTACGTAACATAATGTCCTCTTGATTTGTCGAGGCTGCTTCTTATAGTTTCTATTAGAAATATGTGTGTGTGCGCCTGTGTGTGTATAATGTAGGATATTTTAGGTAACTAAATAGTTGTAAATAAGGCTGAACTGTATTTTTAAGGTTTTATTTGTGACTAATAATTTGTCTTATTAATAAAGCCTAGGTTAAAAAAATAAGTGGAAGACATATCTGTCACACACTATATCTTGGGAGTTTTGAAAAATAAAGTGTTGATTTCAGGCAAAATACTTAGTTCAACTGTAACTAAATCAGCAAAGATGTCATGATTCCATAAGGGATCCACTCTAAATATAATGTTAAATGGAATATTTCATTATATTTTAGAAGTAGGGACTACTAGTTTGACATTTATGTTTTTGAGTATATGTGGTTGCATTCTTATATCTAATAAAATATTCAGTTGTCTTAAACTTAACATTCTTAAGGCCTAGGGCAAGAATAATAATCAAAACCTATATAGTGTATGTTTGCATATTTAAAAGTTATAAATCAAGTTAACAAACTGTTAAATAAAGTATGCTGTGTTCTCTCACTTTGACACATATACCTTCTCAATGAAATTCAGGTTTGGAACTAGAATTCTTGGGCCGTCAACATCCAGCATAGAATATGACGACATAGAGAGAGCCGGTGCCCTGACCTGGTCTCATACCATGAGAGGCCTTCTGTGTATACGTTTTGGGTACCTCTGTTGATATGTTGAAACTCAGTCTACCACTGTAGCTCTAGCAAAAAGCTTCCCATTGGCCCACAGGGCCTCTAGTTGTGCACTCTGTATACGTGGTTCACCATGAAAGACAGAACTGGTGGAGAGGAACATGGACGCTGGAAGCAGTCTCAAAACCCTTTGAAGACAGAATTCTAAGTCTTTATGTTCTACAGCATGATCTAAAAGGTGGTAGGTGGGGGTGAGCAGCATCACCTCCAACTAACCTCATCCCCTTGGACCAGGTAAACTCCTTGTACTTTGGGGAGGAATGTGGCCAGAGAGAGGACCATAGTGGAGCCCTTGAAAGCACAGGCTCCAGGGCAAAGTGTTCTTTTGCTCAATTATATGGGCATTCTTCTTATGGGTGTAGTTATTTGCTTATTGCTATGTAATGATTTGGATTTAATAATGCTATATTGAAAGTGCAATGGCCTACAGAACTGAGGGATCACGTTTTAGCTTAAATTCAATAGAAAAAAATGACTCTTTTATAAAAAAAAGTATTTAAATTTGTAAGTTGTCATCCCTATCCACTAAGGGATATTAAATGTATTAAATACTGGGAAATATATATGCACATATATATTTATATATGTATGTATGTGTGTGTGTGTGTGTGTGTGTGTGTGTATAATAGTGATCAGAGAAAAAGACAAATGAAGACAAACAGCAATAAGGATAAAAATAGTCCAATCATATGAACTCCCAGATGCCATTTTGGAGGAAAATAAAAATTTCCATAGAAATCAATAGATAAGGAACAGATATTTAAGAAAATGTGCTTGGAACAAGTGCACATAAAATAACTAAAATTTAGCATAATGGTCATGAAGGAAAAAAATGTTATGCATGAAAACAAGACATTATGGAATATGAGAAAATTAGATGCTGAAGAAAATAATTGATTGGACTAAAATTATTCCATTAGGCACTCTGATTAATACTCATTATTTAGTGGGGAGAAATATAGAGGTTGTTATTAGAAGACCCAATAGGCCCACTATAACCTTTATATAACATTATATATATTTATATTGATCAATTTTACAGCTTCCAGTTTAAATAAAGGTTCATTCAGTCTCAGTAGATGCATTTTCTATATATTATAGGTATCTTTATATAATTACATATATGTGTATATAATATTGAATATTGACAGATTATAATCACTTACATTTATGGCGTATAGAGTTATGCTTTAATGTATGCATCCAATTTGATATGACTAAATCAAGTTCATACCCATCGCCTCTAATAATTACCATTTATTTCTCCTGTCTCACAGAAACTTTGCACTCTTTCAACAATATCTCTTCATTCCTCTCACTCCTAAATCTCTGGTAACTATTCTGTTCTCTACTTCTAGAATTCAACTATTATAAAGTCCACATAAAAGTGAGAACATATGGTATTTGTCTTTCTGTGCCTGGCTTATTTCACTTAGCATAATGTCTTTGTATTAGTCCTTTTACACACTGCTGTAAAGAACTACCTGAGACTGGGTAATTTGTAAAGAAAAGAGGTTTAATTGACACACAGTTCCTGAGGCTGGAGAGGCCTCAGGAAATGTACAATCATGGCAAAAGACAAAGGGGAAGCAAGACACATCTTACATGGTGGCAGGAGAGAAAGAGTGTGAAGGGGGAAGTGCCACCAGATCTTATGAGAACTCACTCACTATCACAAGAACAGAAAAGGGGAAGTGTGCCCCCATGATTCAATTACCTCCCACCAGGCCCCTCCCCCAACATGTTAGAATTACAATTTGAGATAAGATTTGGGCAGGGATGCAGAGCCAAACCATATTGTTCTGCCCCTGGCCCCTTTAAAATATCATGTTCTTTTCACTTTTCAAAGCCAATCGTGCCTTCCCAAGAGTTCCCCAAAGTCTTAACTCATTCCAGCATTAAACCAAAAGTCCAGTCCAAAGTCTTTCTGAGACAAACAAGTCCATTCCACCTATGAGCCTGTAAAATCAAAAACAGATTAGTTACAATGGGGTTACAGGCATTGGGTAAATACTCCTGTTCCAAAAGGGAGAAATTGGTCAAAACAAAGGGGCTATGGGCCCCATCCAAATCCAAAACCCAGCAGGACAGTCATTAAGTCTCGAAGCTCTGAAATAATCTCCTTTGACTCCATGTCTCACATCCAGGGAATGCTGATGCAACAAGTGGGCTCTCAAGGCCTTAGGCAATTCTACTCTTGTGTGTCTGCAAGATACAGCCCCTTTGATTGCTTTCGTGGATTGGCATTGAGTGCCGACAGCTTTTCCAGGCAGCCAGGGCGAGCTATCGGTGAATTTATCTTTCTGGGTTCTATAGGACTGTGGCCCTCTTCTCACAGCTCCACTAGGCAGTGCCCCAGTAGGAACTCTGTGTGAGGGCTCCAGCCCCACATTTCTCCGGTGCACTGCCCTCATAGAGGTTTCCATGACAGCTCCATTCCTGCAGCACACTTCTGCCTGGATATCCAGGCACTTCCCTATATTATCTGAAATCTAGGTGGAGGTTCCTAAACCTCAATTCTTGTGCACACCTGCAGGCCCAGCAGTATGTGGAAGCTGCCAAGGCTTGGGGCTTGCACCCTCTGAAGCAGTGGCCTGAGCCATGGCTGGAGCTGGAGCTGCTGGGACACGGGTCTTCACGTCCCAAGGCTGCACAGAGGACCGAGGACCTGGGCCCAACCCAAGAAACAATTTTTCCCTTCTAGGCCTTTAGGACTGTGATGGGAGGTGCTGCCGTGAAGATCTCTGAAATGCCCTGGAGACTTTTTCTTCACTTTCTTGGAGATTAACATCAGGATCCTCTTGATTTATGCAAATTTATGCAGCCAGCCTGAATTTCTCCCCAGAAAATGGTTTTTATTTTTTTAACCACATGGTCAAGTTGCAAATTTTCCAAACTTTTAATGTCTTCTTTCCTTTTAAACATAAATTCCAATTTCAAACCATCTCTTTGTGAATGCATGTGACTGTACACTTTTAGAAACTGCCAGGTCAGGGCGTGGTGGTGCATGCCTGTAATTTTCCCAGCTACTTGAGAGGCTGAGGCAGGAGAATCGCTTGAACCTGGGAGGTAGAGGTTGCAGTGAGCCAAAATCACACCACTGCACTCCAGTCTGGGTGACACAGTGAGACTCCATCTCAAAAAAAAAAAAAAAAAAAAAAGGAAAAGAAAAAGAAACCACTCGGTCAAATCTTGAATGCCTTTCTGCTTACAAATTTCTCCTGCCAGATGCCCTAACTTATCTCTCTCAAGTTCAAAGTTTAACAGATCTCTAGGAGAGGGACAAAATGTCACCAGTCTCTTTGCTAAAGCATAGAAAGAGTGACCTTTACTACAGTTCACAATAAGTTCCTCATCTCTATCTGAGACTACCTCAGCCGGGACTTTATTGTCCATATCACTATCAACATATTGATCAAAACTATTCAACAAGTCTCTAGGAAGTTCCAAACTTTCCCATATCTTCCCGTCTTCTTCTGAGCCCTCCAAACTCTCCCAACCTCTGCCTGTTACCCAGTTCCAAAGTCACTTCCACATTTTCAGGTATCTTTGTAGCAGTGCCACACTTTCCTGGTACCAGTTTTCTGTATTAGTCCATTTTCACATTGCTATGAAGAACTACCTGAGAGTGGGTAACTTATAAAAAAAAGAAGTTTTAATTGACTCATAGTTCATGGCTGGAGAGGACTCAGGAAGGTTACAATCATGGCGGAAGGCAAAGAGAAAGCAAGGTACATAGTGACAGGAGAGAGCACAAAACGAGAAGTGCCACACATATTCAAATAATCAGTTCCTTCTCATGTCACTTCGTTCTAATCCTCTGTCATTTAATTGCTCTCTGAAACAGCAGAGAGAGGTTGTTTACTTTTAAGGATTCATGTGATTAAATTAGGCTCACCTGGATAATCCAGGCTAATCTCTCTAGCTCAAACTCCTAACTTTAATCACATTTGCAAAGTCATTGTTCCCATGCAAAGTAATAGATTCACAGGTTCTGAGGATTAAAATATGAATATCTTGGAGGGGGGCATTATTCTGCCTATGCAGAATTTTAATTATACTTTCCCCATTTTCCTTCTTTCTTGACTGATTTTTGTCACGATTTGGAAAATTATAAATTTCCCAAGAAATGCCAGGAAGGAATTTCCATATGGAAACATGGCAATACAGCCTGGAAAACACTATGGACAGTTGCATGGACCTCACAGTAAGGAAATCTAACATAGGCTTCAGGCTGGGGAAAGCTTTATAGACAATGGATGTCATAAATAGGTTTTTGAAGAATGTGTAGTAGTTATCTTTGTGAAAGTTAAGGGAAGAGAGGATTGGAGTCATTAATTCACAGGACTGTGATTAAACTGAGACATACAAATTTCATTTTTAGGGGGAAGTTAAAAATAGTTTAGTATGAGTTCAAATGTAGGAGGAGAGGGATATAAAATTTGAGAGTTAAGCATTGGACCTGTGTAAGTCTATTCTCATGCTGTTAATAAAGACATATCTGAGACTGGGTAACTTATAAAGGAAAGAGGTTTAATTGACTCACAGTTCAGGATGGCTAGGGAGGCCTCAGGAAAGTTAGAATCATGGCAGAAGGGGAAGCAACCATGCCCTTCTTCACATGGTGGCAGCAAGGAGAAGTGCCAAGCAAAAGGAGAAAAAGCCCCTTATAAAACCATCAGATTTAGTGAGAACTCATTATCATGAGAACAGCATGAGGGTAACTGACCCCCATGATTAAATTACCTCCCACAGGGTCCCTCCTGAGACATGGGGGTTGTCAGAACTACAGTTCAAGATGAGATTTGGGTGGGGACACAGCCAAACCATATCAGACCAAACATGAAAGTCTAAGAAGCTTTGACTTTTAAGACAACATTAGGAAGTGCTTGAAGGGTTGTAAACAGTGGCACCACAAAAAAAAAAAAAAAAAAAAAAAAAAAAAAATGTGTTTTTAAGATAACTTCAGAGGCTACAGTACAGAGTATACATTTAAATACAATCAATAGATTAAAATGAAATAAACAGGGATATGGTTCGAGAACATGCATAGTAATCACAATGAGAAACATTACAGTGACTTCAACTAAGTAGAGCAAGAAAAACACTAATATACAGCTACTGCAAGTGCAAGTGAATGCAGTAAATTTGGAAAAGAGTGTGGCAGTATCTAGTTGAAGATACACTTTTCTTACCAGCAATTCTGTAATCACTTGATAGGTTCTTCTTGTCTGCCACGCAGAAAAGCCAATGCAGTGAGAACAGCAGGTTTTGCAGCAAAGAAAGAGTTTAATAATTGCAGGGCCAGCCAAGTGGAAGGATGAAAGATAATGCTCAAATCCACCTCCCTGAGAATTTGGAGGCCAGAGTTTTTCAAGGATAGTTTGGTGGACAGCGGGTAGGGACTGGGGAATGCTAATTTGTTGGGTAAGGGATGAAATCATAAAGGGTCAAAGCTGTCTTCTTGCACTGAGTCAGTTCCTGGATCAGGGGTTCATGAGACCAGCTGAGCCAGTTTTTTTTGTTGTTTGCTTTTTGTTTTTTTGTTTTTTTGAGACGGAGTCTCACTCTGTCACCCAGGCAATGGTGTGATCTCGGCTCACTGCAACCTCCACCTCCTGGGTTCAAGCGATTCTCCTGCCTCAGCCTCCTGAGTAGCTGGGATTACAGACGCGCACCACCATGCCTGGCTAATTTTTATGTTTTTAGTAGAGATGGGGTTTCCCCATGTTGGTCAGGCTGGCGGCTTTTTGTTTGTTTGTTTGTTTGTTTCTTAATGGGTTACCTGTCCAGGTGACATCAGCTGGTCCATCAAAATACAGGGTCTAAAAAATACATCAAGCACCAATCTTAGGCTTTACAGTAGTGATGTTATCTATAGGAGCAACTGAGGAGGCTACAATCTTGTGACTTCCAGCTACATTATTCCTGAACCATAATTTTAACCTTATGCCTAATTTGTTGGTTTTACAAAGGTAGTTTCAGTCCCTTAGCAGGGAGGGGTTACTTTTGGGAAGCAGCTATTATCATCTTTGTTTTAAAATTAAACTATGAATTCCTCCATAGTTAGCTTGGCCTATGCCCAGGAATGAACAAGGACAGTTTGTGAAGTTAGAAGCAAGATAGTCAGCTATGTTAGATTTTTCTCACTCATAATTTTTGCAAAGATGGTTTCAATTCCACTCATTTTTGCATAGAAAATGCATGCTTATGTGTACCAGGATACACATTCAGGAATGTTTAGAGTGGCATCATTTGTAATAACTGAAGGATAGATATAATGTAATAGCTATCAATGGCAATATGGTTATACAAACTGTGATGTGTTCATACGTGGAAGTCTGTATTGCAATGAACAGTATCAGGCAAGTGGTCATCCAACAACATAGATGGAATTTAAAAACATAATGAAAAGTTGATATCAAAGAAGCCAGATCTAATAATATCGTAAATGATTCCATGTGTATAAATATTGAAAACATACATGTATACATGCATGCATGTATACATACATACACTCAGAAGAGTTTGGAAAAGGAAGACTTGCTGAGTCTTCTGGCCTCCATCTTTCTCCCATGCTGGATGCTCCCTGCCCTCAAACATTGGACTCCAAGTTCTTCGGCTTTTGGACTCTTGACACCAGTGGTTTGCCAGGGGCTCTTGAGCCTTTGGCCACAGACTAAAGGCTGCACTGTCAGCTTCCCTACTTTTGAGGTTTTGGGACTCGGACTGGCTTCCCTGCTCTTCAGCTTGCAGACAGCCTATTGTGGGACTTCAACTTCCGATTGTGTGAGTCAATACTTCTTAATGAGCTCTGCTTCATATACACATCTATCCTGTTAGTTCTGTCCTTCTAGAGAACCCTGACTAATACAGATCTAGGTGTACATACAAACAGATTTTGTGTACATACATACATGTATACACACATACACGTATACAACATACATCCCTACACATGCCTGTGTGCACACATACATGTACACGTGCATGCAAGAATACACGTGTCCATACATACGTGTGCACATCCACATACATGCCTACACGCATGTGTGCACACATGTGCACACACGTATGCAAATACATGCATGCACACACATAAATAACGTGTGCATACATGCATGTACATACATGCACACACGTGCACATATGTGCATACACACATAATGCATGTACAATATATACATACATGTAGGCACACATGAGCACAATGTATACATGTACACGTGCATACATGTGCATACACGTGCACACAAACGTACATGTGTATACACGTGTATACACACATGCATACACACATGTACACGTGTAAACAAATGCATGCAAACATGCATGTGCACATTTATGCATACACGAATACCTACACACAAAACACACAAACATACAAACATTCTGTGTACACACATACCTGGATACACATGCATGCACACACACACATGCATCCATGCCTGCAGGCATGCATGTGCAGACATATGTGTACACAAATGCATACCCGCAGATGCATGTACACATGGGTACACACACATACATATAGTTATACACATATGTAGATGCATGTGCACACAGGTGTACATACATGTATACATACACGTGTGTGTTCACATGTACATGCATGTATGTATGTACGTATGCATGTGCAGATACACGTGTACAAACACATGTACACATGTATAGTGCACATATGCACGCACTTGTACACACATTTAGGCATACACATGCATATGTAGATGCATGTGTACATGCATGTATACATCTACACATGCACAGACACATACATGTACACATGCATACTGTGTACATAATACATGTATACAGATACATGTGTGCATGCACGTGTACACACATGCATGCATACACACATGCATTTGTAGATATATGTGTAGGTGTGTACACACAACATACACATATGCATCCACACATACACATATACACATGAGGTGGCACGTTCAGCTTTCAAGAGGACCATCAGGGACTTTGTCACCTTGACAACTTTAGCCTTGCCTTCTAGTCACCTTGCCGGAACACTTGTGCCCGTGTTTTTCTAGCACTGTCATAAGAATACTTTTACCTATCAAGGCAACTGGGGGTTAGGAGAGCTTTTTGCACAGGAGGCTACTTGGCTTTGTTTGAAAACTGATGATACATGAGGATTGGGGTGGTGAATCACTCACATGTTTCTTCATATGAAAAATGAGGACTGTGGGATTCTCTGGCTGGATCTCAGCACCTAGAAATGGATCTGGGCAATAGGAACTGCTCAGTATTAGCTACCGCTTTGGTTGCCTTCTCCTTGCGGAAAGCTGGCCTCTCACACTGAATTTGTATCATAGGCACTCATGAGGGTCTTGACTGTATCAATATCTGATGAGAGATTTTAGTGCAGTTCTGTTATCGTGGCTGATTTGCTCATTTGGTAGCTAGCATCCAGCTTCTTGTGAACATTAAAATAAAATAAAATAGATTATGGAGGAATAGAATACAGATACGTAGTAAGGTATTATTTTCCAGACAAAATGGATTTGGATAAAAGAATCTAATTAAGAACTTGTGCATGATTCTTTTAAAATTCTTTTGAATCCATTTTTTTTTTTTTGGCCTGTTTTCAAGTCTCCGATTTTTGTCACCCTTCTCACACCAGGTCAGAGAGATAGCTAATGGTCAGAAGGAATCTTCCAGCAATGACCATAGCGCTTTCTCCTGCCTGCAGATGCCTCTTTTTATTCAGCCTTTATGGGAAGTAGCAGCACCATCCAGTTCTCAGAGAGCAAGCTCTGGAGTAACTGAGCTAACCCCAGTTACCCCAGTGGATTTACAGATTGAGGTTACAACCCAGCAGGGTTCTCTTCCTGGAAAGAATAGCCTTCCCTCTAAGGTTTCAAATAGACCCTGGGTGAGGAAGGAGCCCTAAACAGCTTGAAAAATTGAATGCTCTTTGGGCAAAGCAGGAAGCCGTCCTATGGAAGAGCATCATTTGAGCATAAATCAGGTTATCAGGACAAACAGAGTGTTCAGGAGGTCAAGATGGTTAAGCAGAGACCCTGACCAGAATGTCCGTGGCGGAGAGAAACAATCTTGTTGGGAAAAGGATGACAATAATTGGGGACTTAGAATAAAGGCTAAAAATGATTCAAAGAGAATGCAAAAAGAATCAGGCACAAATCGTTTACTATACTCTGTTATGCAAATCTCACCTTACTATGTGTTTGTATTCTATTCCTCCACAATCTTTATTTTATTTTAATGTTCAAAGAGACTTGTAGGTGCCAATTAAATGAACAAAACAGCCAGAGACAACAGAACTGCCCTAAAAAAAGTCCCGCATCAGCTCTTGAGAGCAGGTTCCTTAAAGGTGAACAATATTCCACATACAAGGACTTTTTCAGCACCATGCATTAGAAATGGAAGTGAATGTTTATTATTTTTTGTATAAGTTGGTTGATATGGCTTTTCAGCTTCCCTCAGTATCATTATCCAAATTTTGTAGATGACACTAAAGCTCAGAGGAGTTAAACCATTTTCCTTAAATCACATAGCTTTAAATAGGAAAACCAGATATGAAAAGCAGATTTTTTTTCTAAATTAAAAAACCAAAAACAAAAACACGTGAGCTCTTGCTTTACCCTAGCACATAGTCTTGCCATCTGTTTTCTCCACACCAGGTGATTCCTGTAACATTCATTCACATAACAAATACAAATAAATGAGTGGATTCATTCATCAGATATTAATTCAGAATCCCTTTTGTGCCTTCCAGAAATCTGGACCATCTCACAACCCCCAGAGAGTCTCAGCTACAAGGAACAAGTGATAATGCCATCCCACTTTTATAAACACACACACACACACATGCAATACACACACAATCATTTAATCATTTTTAATTATTTAATTATTTTTTAAAAATCAGTGACACTTTAGCTGGGCAGGTCTAGATAGGTCTTCTTTGCTGGGACGTGTCTTTTTCTGTCCTGGAATACCCTAAACTTCACATTTTGGCAGCGTGAGTTTTCCCTTTGTGACTTTCTCCTTCTTCCCTTTTTTCCTCCTTCTTTGCAGAGAATGAGTAGCCACTGCACCTTGCCCTGCGCCATCAATGAGAAGATCTGCTCTTAGTAGAGCCCTGCTTTCCCGCTGAAGGCCCTGAAATCACCTGTGTTCCAGGCCACCCACTAAGGATAAACAAAGCTTCCCTGATATGGGGAATTAGCTCAAGTGGTAGAGCGCTTGCTTAGCATGCAAGAGGTAGTGGGATCAATGCCCACATTCTCCAAGCTTTATTATTTAGGTACCCAAACCCGAGTCAGTGTCTGAGAGCAAGACACTGCTCTCGGTGTCTTTGGTTCAAGACATAGGAGCAGCAACAATACAGGACTGGTGACAGCTTCCTGCTGGCATTCAGTATAGTGTAGATCTACTGTGTAATTAATTTTCTGTTTCTTCGAGGAGCTGTGAAACCAAAGGACATATAAAACTGCTCTTTTCTCCCTGTTTCTGCCTGCAGCTTGGTCCTAAATGTGAGACAATTGTGAAAAGTGGAGGACAGAGCCACCTGGTTAAATACAGCCCCAGCTTTCTGGTGAGAGGACTGAAACCAAGATGTGTCAAGTAACTAGAATGTGCCTGGACAGATACTGTAGAAAGCAAAACCATAAAGTTGTTCATGAGCTTGTGGACGCACCTGCCAGCTGTGAATAAGTGGCTCTAATCCCGAACAACTTACCTAAAAAGAGCCTGAGAGCTGAACTGTGCAATGGCCCACTTTCCAGTCCTCACTGACCACTGGGTTGCACACACTTTGGAGATCTCTGAACAGCAGTGTCAAGGCTTTCAAATAGAGTTATCTTTGAAACGACAACACATGAAAGTCTGGTTGGTACTTGGAGCTTAAATACAAGGCAATTGTGTGCCTGCAAAAACAAAAATAGCAATATTATCCTTAAGATTTCAACAAGACACAGTGTCTCATCACATAATCCAAAGAAGTCCAGGTTACAAGCCCCACAATATTCAGCATTATGAAAAAACAGGGAGATCTTAATTCACATGGCAAAGAGAATCCTCGAATAACAATATTGAGAGGACACAGATGTCAAAATCATCTGACACATACATTAAAGCAGATATTATAACAATGCTCCTAGAATCGGGGATAACATTCGTGAAGTGAATGGAAAGTTGGAAAGTCTCACCAAATATTTCGAATACATAAACACCAATTTAAACTTAAGAATTAAAAAAATGTATTAACCAAAACTCTTAGGGGAAATAAAAAGCTTAATTGGAGGATCTCCATAATCGAATGCAGAAGACTAAGGAAAAAGTCAATGAACTTGAAAACAGAACACGAATACCTACATAATCTGAACTATAGAGAGAAAGGAGGATTTTATTGTCTCTGAACAGAGGCTCAGGCACAAATAAAAAATAACAAATCCAACATTCACATTATTGTAATCTGGAAAGAAGAGGACAAAGTGGTCTTTGTGGGATAAAACTTTGAACAATTAATAGCTGAAAATGGTTCAAATTTGTCAAAAGATATAAACCAGATTTTTAAAGTTCAGTAAATGTCAATCAGGATAAACCCAAAGAAACCCATAGCAAGGCATATCATAATCAAACTGCTGAAAACTAAGAAAATACAAAACAATTTTGAAAGCAGCCAAAGGGAAATGAAAGAGAAACTACCAAATGAATGATTGTAGATTTCGCATCAGGAACCATAGGGGCCAGAAAAAATGTCATAACATTCGGTAAGTAACAAAAGAAAAAGACATATCGACCCAGAATGCTATGTGGAGCAAAAGTATCTTCCAGACATAAAGGCAAATAAATGCATTCTCAGTGGAAGGTAAGTAAATACATTCTCATTCTTAGGAAGACTGCTGGAAAAGAATTAGCAAAGATTTGAGATAAGAAAAATGATACCAGAAGGAAACTTAGAACATCATCAGTGAAGGAACAAAAGCAGAAATAGAACATGTCTGGGTAGACATAACAGACTATTATTCTTCCCTTGAGTTCCTTAAGGTATGTTTGATGATTGAAAGCAAAAATTGTAACTTTATCAGAAGCAGTTGTCATTGTATCTAGATGTACTACATACAGAAGATAAAAGGGTAAGTGTAATGGGACTAACTCTTGATGAAGTTTCTTTATTCAACTTGAATGGTAAAATATTGATTCTAAGTATACTGTGAAAGGTTATATATGTATATGGTAAACCCTAGACCACCTACTAACAAGATTTAAATAAACCAAAACAAGATAGAAAGAGGAACATAGATGAATTAAAACAAAGGGAAACAAGGTTAATACATTATTAAATAATAGACCTATCTAAAAACTTATCTATAATGACATTACATGTAAATAATCTAAACGCATTAATTAAAAACTAGAGATCATCAGAATGTGTTAAAAATAAATATGCTGACTAAAGAAAGCCACCTGCTATACACTTATATATAAGAATAAAAGTTATAGAGCAGATTGAAAGAAAAGAGTGGGAAAAGATACCTCATGCAAGCACTAATCAAAGACAGCTGTGATGTATATATAAAAAAATCAGACAAAGTACATTTGAAAGCAGAGAAACTTTTCAGGAATAATGAGGCCTGCTAAATAATTATGATTGTCAATTTTCCAGGGGAATATTGTCCCAAGTGTATATGAGAACATAGAGCTTCAAAACTCATAAACAAAATTGGATACGCAAGGTAAAAACAGAAAAATCCAATTAGAGTTGCCGACACTAACACTCCTCTCTCGGTAATTGGTAGACTTAGTAGAAAACAAATCAGCAAACATATTGGAGAATTAAACCATACCATCCAGTAATGGACCTATTAACTTCATAATGCAAAATAAAAATTTAGGTAGAAGGCAAAGACAAAAGTTAAAAGAAAAGTAAAGATCATGTTATAACCAGGAAATTAAGAGTAGTCCAGCATATAGAAGAGTGCTATTATTGGAAGAGTTATTTAGTTATTTTGAGACATTTTTTGAAAGAGTTATTTAGCTGGAAATGACAGAAAGACTGAAAATGGTGAATCTGGAGGTGGATCTCCCCTTGTCCATATTTATTTTGTCTTTTTTTGAGGTCTAGGGTGTCTATACTTCCTCTGAATTACCTACAGTGTCTGGCACAGAGCATCTCCCCAGTGAATATGTATTAAATGAGTAGAAAGTAATTTATAGATTCAAAAGAACTGGGCAAGAATAATGTTCATTATTTGACAAATCCTTGAATGTAGTGTTTGAAGGAAGACAATAAGTCAAAGTTGACTTGAAAGGTAAGCCCAAGTCCAGACTCTTTTCTGTAATCCCAGCACTTTGAGAGGCCGAGATGGGCAGATCCCGTGACACCAGGAGTTTGAGACCAGCCTGGACAACACAGTGAAACCCTGTCTCTACAAAAAATACAAAAATTAGCCAGGTGTGGTGGTATGCATCTGTAGTTCCAGCTACTCAGGAGGCTGAGGTGGGAGGATCGCTTGAATCTGGGAGGCGGAGGTTGCAGTGAACAGAGATTGCACCGGTGCCTGGACAACAAAGTGAGACCCTGTCATAAAATAAAATAAAATAAAATAAAATAAAATAAAATAAAATAAAATAAAATAAAATAAAATAAAATAGTTAAACCCAGGCCGGGAGGGGTAGCTCACACATGTAATCACAGCACTTTGGGAGGCTGAGGTGGGCGGATCACCTGAGGTCAGGAGTTTGAGACCAGCCTGGCCAACATGGTGAAACCCCATCTCTACTAAAAATACAAAAATTAGCTGGGCGTGGTTGCAAGCACCTGTAGTCCCAGCTACTCAGGAGGCTGAGACAGGAGAATTACTTGAACCTGGGAGACAGAGGTTGCCGTGAGCCAAGATCTCACCAGTGCAGTACAGCGTGGGTGACAGAGCAAGTAAGTAAAGAGGAGGTTTGGAATTAGATATTTGGTGTATGAATGAATGGGCTAAAGTGCAAAAGAACAGGCAGAATAACTGAGCTGGTACAGAGGAAAAAAATCACACTTAAAATCTAAAAGTATCTGCTTCTCAATTTGGGCTTTCCCACTTAGCAGCTTTGACACCTTAGAAAGAACACTTAACTTACCTGAGCTTCTATTACTTCTAAAAAGTGCATAAAGTGCAGGCTAAGACATAGTTTTTTTGGCAAAATTCAGTCAGACTACATCAAGTAAACTCCCTAAGTCTCCTAGTATAATTCATGGCACAAAAACTGGGGAAAAAACAGGGAGGATATGTTTATAAGTTCAGTTTGGGTTTTTTGTTGAGTGAATGTCTCCAGTCATAGAGATGCAAGTGTAGATACACCGTAAGAGTAGTATGAACAGGAGACACCTTGGAAGGCTATTTCTTCCTTCATTCATTCAGTTGGTCACTCAATGAACTATCATGAATTGAGCACTACCTCTGTTTCTTATCAACAAAGGAGACTACGGAAAAGAAGAGTGACTAAGATCTCTGAAGAAGGGAAAAGCTAGATGACTGGGCCACAAGAGAAAAAAAGCAGCAAGACAGGTACAATTGTTTCTGGTCCCTCAAGCCAGAAGGTCCTATCATTATGTGAATACTGGAAACGGGTGGACTCCACCTGTCCTGAGTGGGGAATTCTTCCAGTGCAGCACTGGCTGATAAGCAGTGATTTCCAAGTAGCATTGATTGTGTTCTTTAAAAGCTAGGAATTGATAAAGCAGCAGTGTGTGGGAAATGAGATTTAATAATCTGGATCTCAGCTCTTAGGAACAGTTGCTCTCTTAGAGCAGCAGGCCACCTGTCAATCTCGTATTCTGAAGGTCCTGAGTTTGAACATCAGACAAGGTACAGCTTTTGCCGCTCTTTCCGTTAAGGGAAATGAAATAGGTGTGATAAATAATGTAACACAAATGCTATGAGATAATGATTTCAAGACAGTCCAAATATTAGCTTAAAATTTAAAAATGAGCTTTTCTTTTTTCTTTCTTTCTTTCTTTCTTTCTTTCTTTCTTTCTTTCTTTCTTCCTTTCTTCTTTCTTTCTTTCTTTCTTTCTTTCTTTCTTTCTTTCTTTTTCTCTTTTTCCTTCTTTTGGCTTCTTAGTGGTTTGAATACAAGGCGTGGTGAAGAGATATAAATTACACAAGAAACTACAAGCTATGTCATATGTCTACCTCTCTAGCTGACAAGGGAAGCAGGGGAAATTTCTCTTCCAATTGTCTGCTCTGAAGGTCATCCAAACATAATTATCAGGTGGGGTGGGTGAACTCTTTTATTCTTTTAATCATCCAACAAATATTTCTCAAGCGCATACCTTGTTAAGAGACTGTTTTGGGTACAGTAATTCACAGTGAATAAAACACAGATATTCTCACCTTTGTGATACTACGTCATAGTTGCAAGGAGTGGGGAGAAACAGACAGGAAGCAAAGAAGAAAAATAAACAAGAAGTCATGTGATAATATCTACTGGGAGGGACTCATTAGGCAGTAAAGGACTCGGCAGTGTGGAGGTGACACATTCAGTTTTCAGTAGAAGAATCAGGGAAGTTGTCACTTTGAAGCTATCATTTAGCTTCCCTTTCTTTCAATCTTCTTTCTTTACATGGGAAATAAGGATTGTGGGATATTTTTGGGTGGATCACAGCACCTAGAGATGGACCTGATCAATAAGAACTGCTCAGTAAGCATTAGCTACTGCTTCGGTTGCCTTCCCCCTGTGGAGTGCTGGCCTCTTGGATTGAGCTTGCATCATAGGTGTTCAGTAGGAGCTTGCTTAGTGGATTTATAGGTTGAGGTTAGAACCCACTGGAATTCTCTTCCTGGAAAGAACAGGCTTCTCTTTAAGGTTTCATACAGACCCTGGTTGAGGAAAGAGCCCTAAATTGCTTGAAAAATTGAATGCTCTATGGGCAAAGCAGGAAGCCCTCCTATGGAAGGGCATCATTTGGGCATATATCAGGGTCTCAGTAAAAACATGAGTGCTCAGGAAGTCAAGATGGTTAAGCAGAGAATCTGACCAGAATGTTCATGGTGCGAAGAAATAATCTTGTTGGGTGTAGGATTACAACAACTGGGAAATTAGAATACAGGCTAAATGAGATTCAAAAATAATACAACAAGAATCAGGCACAAATCCTTTACTACTACATTCTTTTGTACAAATCCATTTTGCCTAGAAAATCGTACCTTACTATACATCCCTATTGTGTTTCTCCACCATCTATTTTACTTTTTAAACTTTATTTCATTTTTGTCATCACAGAAGCTTGTTGCTACAAAATAAATGAGCAAATCAGCCAATGGCAACAAAGCTGCACTGATCTCTCTCCTTAGACCTTCAGAACATTTTCCTTAAAGGTGAACAATACTCCACGTTCAAGGACTTTTTCAGCACTATGTGCTAGAAACTATGCTGACTGTTTATTAATTTTTATGTAAGTTGGTCGATATAGTTTCTCAGCTTCCCCAAGTATTATTACCACAGTACTATAGATGACACTGAAGCTCAGAGCAGTTAAACCATTTTCCTCAGATCACATAACTTTAAAGAGGGAAACCAGATATGGGAAGCAGATTTCTTTCTAAATGAAAAAATCATGAGCTCTTGCTTTCACTTAGCACATAGTCTCATCATCTGTTTTCTTCACACCAGCTCACTCATGTAACATTCATTCATTTACCAAATACAGATAAATGAGTGGATTTATTCTTGCTTTCATCAGATACTAATTCAAAATCGCTTCTGTGTCTGCTACACTGTGCTCAAGACTTGCCAGTGCCTTTGTCTCCTCTCCCTCAAATCTCTCCACCCAATGTCTTGACAAATACTGTAGATTCTTCCTGCATAACCTCTCCAGAATCTTTTCCTTCTGTTATCCATGCTACAGTGTTTATGGAGGATGTTTTCTTCACCTATGAAGTGTGATGGGGGCTGAAGCTGCAGCAAGACTCATGCTGTTCACCTCAGGAGCTGACACAGTAAATGTGGATAAACCTCAATCCTTTAATATCTTTATGACTTCTTTCCCAGTTACCCCAGCGAATTTACAGATTGAGGTTAAAACCACAACAGGATTATCTTCCTGGAAAGAATAGGCTTCCCTTTAAGGTTTCACATAGATACTGGGTGAGGAAGGAGCCCTAAATTGCTTGAAAAATTGAATGCTCTTTGGGCAAAGCAGGAAGCCTTGCTATGGAAGAGCATCATTTGAACATAAATCAGAGTCTCAGTACAAACAGAGTGCTCAGGACATCAAGATGGTTAACCAGAGAGCCTGGCCAGAATATCTGCGGTGGAGAGAAACGATCTTGTTGGGAGAAGGATGACAATAATTGGGGACTTAGAATAAAGGCTAAAAATGATTCAAAGAGAATGCAAAAAGAATCAGGCACACATCCTTTACTCTGTTGTGCAAATCTCACCTTACTGTGTGTTTGTATTCTATTCCTCCACAATCTTTATTTTATTTTATTTTTATGTTCACAGAGATTTGTTGGTGCCAACTAAATGAGCCCAACAGCCAGTGACAACAGAACTGCACTAAAAAAAGTCCCTCATCAGCTCTTGAGAGCAGGTTCCTTAAAGGTGAACAATATTCCACATACAAGGACTTTTTCAGCACCATGCATTAGAAATGGAAGTGAATGTTTATTATTTTTTGTATAAGTTGGTTGATACGGCTTTTCAGCTTCCCTCAGTATCATTATCCAAATTTTGTAGATGACACTAAAGCTCAGAGGAGTTAAACCATTTTCCTCAAATCACATAGCTTTAAATAGGAAAACCAGATATGAAAAGCAGATTTTTTTCTAAATTAAAAAAAAAAAAAAAACTTGAGCTCTTGCTTTACCCTAGCACATAGTCTCACCATCTGTTTTCTCCATGCCAGGTCATTCATGTAACATTCATTCACATAACAAATACAAATAAATGAGTGGATTCATTCATCAGCTATTAATTCAGAATCTCTTTTGTGTCTACCACACTAGGCTCAAGACTTCCCAGTGTCTTTGTCTCCTCTCCCTCAAATCTCTCCACCCAATGTCTTGACAAATACTGTAGATCCTTCCTGCACAGCATCACCAGAATGTTTTTCTTTCTTTTCATTCACCTCTGTCATCATCCATGCTATGGTGTTTATGGAGGATGTATTCTGCAGCAGGAAGTGTGATGGGCACTGACGCTGCAGAAAGACTCCTGTTGTCCACCTCGGGAGCTGACACGATAAATGCGGGTAAATCTCAATCCTTTAATATCTTTATGACTTCTTTCTCTTTCTCTTCAATTTCTATTTTCTCATGTTCAAGCTCTGACATTCAAAACTAAACACCTTTCTCTAACATGTTGCTTTAATTATTTAAGCATTCTGCCTGGGATTTTTTCAATTACTCTTGGGAGTTTTCATAAAACTCTACCAACATATCTCCAAGTGGCCAGGCTTTTCAATCACTGCTTCCCTCCGTGTGTATTTCACACACACACACACACACACACACACACACACAGCACTTAAATTGAACAGGTTTATTTCTTCACACAGGAATTCCTACGAACAGCCCGGTTTTCTCCACCATATGTCCACTCCTTCTCTGCATAGCTGAATTTTGATTCTTACACTCTAATATTTTACATATTCTTACACTCTGATATGATCTTGTCTCTTATTCTTTATGGCTCTGCTCTGTAATTTTGTTGTTGTTGTTCTGAGATATAGTTGGACATGTAACTTGTACATGACACACCTTAGCAAGGAGGCAACCTATATCTCAGATGCAAGTGAAAGAAGCACTCCCCAGGGGTTTCCTAAGGTAGTGGTCAGCACGCTGGCTTCATTCCTGAAAGGGCCTAGTTATGAAAACAACAGGAGCTTTTTGCCTTCCAGAAATCTGTACCATCTCAAAATCCCCAGAGAGTCTCAGCTACAAGGAACAAGTGATAATACTATCTCACTTTTATAAACACACACACACAACACACACACACAAAATCATTTAATCATTTTTAATTATTTAATCATTTTTTAAAAATCAGTGACACTTTAGATGGGCAGGTCTAGGCAGGGCCTCCTTTCCTGGAATGTGCCTTTTTCTGTCCCGGAATACCCTAAACTTGACATTTTGGCAGTGTGAGTTTTCCCTTTTTGACTTTCTCCTTGTTCCCTTTCCTCTTCCTTCTTTGCAGAGAATGAGTAGCCACTGCACCTTGCCCTGGGCCATCAGTGAGAAGATCTGCTCTTAGTAGAGCCCTGCTTTCCCGCTGAAGGCCCTGAAATCCCCTGTGTTCCAGGCCACCCACTAAGGATCAATAAAGCTCCCCTGATGTGGGGGAATTAGCTCAAGTGGTAGAGCGCTTGCTTAGCATGCAAGAGGTAGTGGGATCGATGCCCACATTCTCCAAACTTTATTATTTAGACCCTGGGTCTCCAAACACTCAGGTCTCCAAACCCAAGTCAGAGAACAGGATGCTGCTTTGGTTCAAGATGTAGGAGCAGCAACAATACAGGGCTGGTGACGGCTCCCTCCTGGCATTCAGTATAGTGTAGATCTACCGTGTAATTAATTTTCTGCTTCTTTGAGGAGCTGTGAAACCAAGGGACATAAACAATTGCTCTTTTCTCCCTGTTTCTGCCTGTAGCTTGAATGTGAGGCAACTGTGAAAAGTGCAGGGCAGAGCCACCTGGGTAAATACAGCCCTGGCTTTCTGGTGAGAGGACTGAAACCAGGATGTGTCAAGTAACTAGAATGTGCCTGGACAGATACTGTAGAAAGCAAACCCATAAAGTTGTTCATGAGCTTGTGGACGCACCTGCCAGCTGTGAATAAGTGGGTCTAATCCCAAACAACTTACCTAAAAAGAGCCTGAGGACTGAACTAAACAATGGTCCGCTTTCCAGTCCTCACTGACCACTGGTTGCACACACTCCAGAGATCTCTCATCCGCAGTGTCAAGGCTTTCAAATAGAGTTATCTGTGAAACAACAACACATGGAAGTCTGGTTGGTACTTGGAGCTTAAATACAAGGCAATTGTGTGCCTGCAAAAACAAAAAGAGCAATATTATCCTTAAGATTTCAACAAGACACAGTGTCTCATCACATAATCCAAAGAAGTCCAGGTTACAAGCCCCAAAATATTCAGCATTATGAAAAACCAGGGAGATCTTAATTCACATGGCAAAGAGAATCCTTGCATAACAATATTGAGAGGACACATATGTCAAAATCATCTGACACATACATTAAAGCAGTTATTATAACAATGCTCCTAGAATTACGGGATAGCATTCATGAAGTGAATGGAAAGTTGGAAAGTCTCACCAAATATTTGGAATATGTAAACACCAATTTAAACTTAAGAATTAAAAAAAGTATTAACCAAAACTATTAGGGGAAATAAAAAGCTTAATTGGATGATCTCAATAGCAGTATGCAGAAGACTAAGGAAAAAGTCAATGAACTTGAAAACGGAACAAGAATACCTACAGAATCTGACCTATAGAAAGAAAGGAGGATTTTATTGTCCCTGAACAGAGGCTCAGGGACAAATAAAAAATAACAAATCTAACATTCACATTATTGTAATCTGGAAACATTCACATTATTGTAAGAGGACAAAGAGGTCTTTGTGGGATAAAACTGTGAAGAATTAATGGCTGAAAATGTATCAAATTTCTCAAAAGATATAAACCAGATTTTTAAAGTTCAGTAAATGTCAAGCAGGATAAACCAAAAGAAACCCATTGCAAGACATATCATAATCAAACTGCGGAAAATTAAGAAAACACAAAACAATTTTGAAAGCAGCCAAAGGGAAATGAAAGATAAAATACCAAATGAATGATTGTAGATTTCTCATCGGGAACCCAGGAGCCAGAAAAAAATGTCATAACATTCAGTAAATACCAAAGGAAAAATACATTATCAACCCAGAATGGTATGTGGAGCAAAAGTATCTTCCAGACATAAAGGCAAATAAATGCATTCTCATTGGAAGGTAAATAAATACATTCTCAGTCCTAGCAAAACTGCTGGAAAAGAATTAGCAAAGGTTTGAGATAAGAAAAGTGATACCAGAAGGAAACTTAGAACATCATCAATGAAGGAACAAAAGCAGAAATAGAAAATGTCTGGGTAGACATAACAGACTATTATTCTTCTCTTGAGTTCCTTAAGGTATGTTTGATGGTTGAAAGCAAAAATTGTAACTTTATCTGATGCAGTTGTCATTGTATCTAGATGTACTACATACATAAGATAAAAGGGTAAATGTAATGGGACTAACTCTTGATGAAGTTTCTATATTCAACTTGAATGGTAAAATATTGATTCTTAGTATACTGTGAAAAGTTATATATGTATATGGTAATCCCTAGACCACTTAACAACCAGATTGAAATAAACCAAAACAAGATAGACAGAGGAACATAGAAGAATTAAAACAAAGGGAAAAAAGGTTAATAAATTATTAAATAGTAGATCTATCTAAAAACTTATCTATAATAACATTATATGTAAATTATCTAAATGCATTAAGTAAAAACTAGAGATCATCAGAATGTGTTAAAAATAAATATGCTGACTAAAGAAAGCCACCTGCAATACACTTATAAATAAGAATAAAAGTTATAGAGCAGATTGAAAGAAAAGAGTGGGAAAAGATACCTCATGCAAGCATTAATCAAAGACAGCTGTGGTGTATATATATAAAATCAGACAAAGTAGATTTGAAAGCAGAGAAACTTTTCAGGAATAATGAGGCCTCCTAAATAATTATGATTGTCAATTTTTCAGGAGAATATTGTCCCAAATGTATATGAGGACACAGAGCTTCAAAACTCATAAACAAAATTGGATACGCCAAGTAAAAATAGAAAAATCCAGTTATAGTTGCAGTCATTAACACTCCTCTCTGAGTAATTGGAAGATTTAGTGGAACACAAATCAACAGACATACTGGAGAATTGAACCATGCCATCCAGTAATGGACCTATCAATTTCATAATGCAAAATAAAAATTCAGGTAGAAAGCAAAGACAAAAATTAAAAGAAAAGCAAGATCATGTTATAATGAGAAAATTAAGAGTAGTCCAGTGTATAGAAGGGTGCTATTATTGAAAGAGTTTGAAATAGTGACTTAGTTATTTTGAAACATTTTTGAAGACGTTATTTAGCTGGAAATGACAGAAAGACTGAAAATGGTGAATGTGGAGGTGGATCTTCCCTTGTCCATATTTATCTTGTCTTCGTTTGAGGTCTGGGGTGTCTATACTTCCTCTGAATTACCTGATCTTACTACAGTGTCTGGCACAGAGCATCTCCCCAGTGAATATGTACTAAATGAGTAGAAAGTAATTGATAGATTCAAAAGAGTTGTGCAAGAATAATGTTCATTATTTGACTAATCACTGAATGTGGTGTTTCAAGGAAGACAATGAATCAAAGTTGACTTGAAAGGTAAGCCCAGGGCCAGACGTGGTGGCTCATTTCTGTAATCCCAGCACTTTGGGAGGCCGAGATCAGTGGATCCCTTGACACCAGGAGTTTGAGACCAGCCTAGGCAACACAGTGAAAACCTGTCTCTACAACAAATACAAAAATTAGCCGGGTGTGGTGGTATGCATCTGTAGTTCCAGCTACTCAGGAGGCTGAGGTGGGAGGATCGCTTGAACTCAGGAGGTGGAGGTTGCAGTGAACAGAGAACGCACCGGTACCTGGACAACAAAGTGAGACCCTGTCATAAAATAAAATAGTTAAACCCAGGCCAGGAGGGGTGGCTCATGCCTGTAATCCCAGCACTTTGGAAGGCCAAGGTAGGCTGATCACGTGACGTCAGGAGGTTGAGACCAGCCTGGCCAACATGGTGAAACCCCGTCTCTACTAAAAATACAAAAATTAACCAAGCGTGGTGGCAGGCACCTGTAGTCCCAGCTACTCTGGAGGCTGAGACAGGAGAATTACTAGAACCCGGGAGGCAGAGGTTGCAGTGAGCCAAGATCTTACCATTGCACTGCAGCCTGGGCGACAGAGTGACACTCTGTCGAAAAAAAAAAAAAAAAAAAAGTTAAGCCCAAAAAGTAAGTAAGGAAGAGGTTTGGAATTAGATATTTGTTGTATGAATGAGTGAGCTAAAGTGCAAAAGAACGGGCAGAATAACTGAGCTGGTACAGAGGGAAAAAATCACATTTAAAATCTAAAAATATCTGCTTCTTAGTTCAGGCTTTCCCACTTAGCAGCTTTGGCACCTTAGGAACACTTAACTTATCTGAGCCTCTATTACTTCTAAAAAGTGCATAAAGTGCAGACTAAGACAGTTTTTTTGGCAAAATTCAGTCAGACTACATCAAGTAAACTCCCTAAGTCTCCTAGTATAATTCATGGCACAAAAAATTGGGGAAAAAACAGGGAGGATATGATTATAAGTTCAGTTTATGTTTTTTGTTGAGTGAATGTCTCCAGTCATAGAGATGCAAGTGTAGATACACAGTAAGAGTAGTATGAATGGGAGACACCTTGGAAGGCTATTTCTTCCTTCCTTCATTCAGTTGGTCACTCAGTGAACTATCATGAATTGAGCACCGCCTCTGTTTCTTATCAACAAAGGAGACTGCGGAAAAGAAGAGTGACTAAGATCTCTGAAGAAGGGAAAAGCTAGATGACTGGGCCACAAGAGGAAAAAAAGCAGCAAGACAGTTACAATTGTTTCTGGTCCCACTTTTATAAACACACACACACACACACACACACACACACACACACACAAAATCATTTAATCATTTTTAAGTATTTAATCATTTTTTAAAAATCTGTGATGCTTTACCTGGGCATGTCTAGGCAGGTCCTCCTTTGCTAGGACGTGCCCTTTTCTGTCCCGGAATACTCTAAACTTGGCATTTTGGCAGCGTGAAGTTTTCCCGTTGTGACTTTCTCCTTGTTCCCTTTTCTCCTCCTTCTTTGCAGACAATGAGTAGCCACTGCTGTTTGCCCTGGCCCATCAATGAGAAGATCTGCTCTTAGAGCCCTGCTTTCCTGCTGAAGGCCCTGAAATCACCTGTGTTCCAGGCCACCTGCTAACAATAAATAATGCTGCCCTGATGTGGGGAATTAGCTCAAGTGGTAGAGCGCTTGCTTAGCACGCAAGAGGTAGTGGGATCGATGCCCACATTCTCCAAGCTTTATTATTTAGACATCGTGTCTCCAAACACTCAGGTCTCCAAACCCAAGTTAGTGTCTGAGAACAGGATGCTGCTTTGGTTCAAGACGTAGGAGCAGCAATAATAGAGGGCTGGTGATGGCTCCCTCTTGGCATTCAGTATAGTGTAGATCTACCATGTAATTAATTCTCTGTTTCTTTGAGGAGCTGTGAAACCAAGGGACATATACAACTGCTCTTTTCTCCCTGTTTCTACCTGCAGCTTTGTCCTAAATGTGAGACAATTATGAAAAGTGCAGCGCAGAGCCACTTGGGTAAATACAGCCCCGGCTTTCTGCTCAGGGGACAGAGTTTGAGGCACTGCAGAGGAACCGGCCAAAGTATGAGACCCATATATTGAGAGTAACAGAGTGTAAAGTTCAAAAAAATCAAAATATTTAAAGATTTATCATGGGTCTTGATGACATGATGGAATCTCTCTACTCTCTGGACTTATTATGTGTGGTAATAAATTTACTTTTTAAAAGCCAGTTGAGTGTTTTTAATGTTGTGGAGCTATTGCTAAGAGTTTCCTGAGTTTTTTCCAGTAATGTAGAGATCTTTGTGCTAAATATTTCATAAAGAAGTTTGGTGGGTTATGTGTTCTAAATCCTAATCACTGGCATTAACTCAAACCAGCCATATAAAAGGTATGAAAAATGTCTGTCTGGCGTGCACTTGGTTCACTGAGCTTTTGCTTTCCTGTCAGCAAATTAGACATTCTCCTCACTTAGGAGGCCAACTTCTCAGCCACTGGCTCCAGCCTAGCCCTATGGTCTGTCAGTGGCTTTAGATTTAATTGACACATGCCCAGCCCCAACTCTCTCCTGCCTTAAGGATATAAGAGCCATTGTGAGCCGCAAAGTTATTATATCCGAGAACCCAGAAAACCACTTTTGTATATAGCAGTCCGCTGTTTTCTCATTTAAACATATGGGTTGGAATAGCATAGGATCATACACCTGTGAGCCTACCTGTTTTACAAGTTAAAACTTTTTCCTGATTCTTGCAAGCATTTTTTCTCACTCAACCCTACATGCATGTGTGCAGAATTTTAAGGTAAAATTAGTTTTTGTAGACACTGAATGTGCTGCCCTCAAGGAATATTACAATGGAGTAGGGAAGACAGTTGAGCAAACAGCTGTTTACAATTCTGATAAAAGTCACAATTGAGATGAATACTCTGTACACTAAAAGTACAGAAAGGAACACTACTCTTGAGAATGAGTAGCCTGATAGGATTTGCCAGTGTTTCTGTTATTTCATTTGTTCATACCGGTCCCTGACACCTGGTTTCCTTTTCAAGCAACAAAATCCTAAAATCTCCATCATCTGCTGCTTTCACGTTCCTCACCACTGAGGTCAAGGACCCGAGGCTGGCAGGAAATTGAACTAATGACACTTCAAGAAGACCATGAATCTTTTCATTTTTTCAGCTGGAAAGCTGAGAGCAGACAAATGGCAGGGAGGCCAAGTGCTATCAACCACATTTAGAAATTTTATTTAATCTGCACATCTTTATTTGGTAGAAAGTTTTACAAATAAAATTTAACACAAAACAATTTTTTTGAAAAACCATGTTGACTTAAGCAGAGCCAATGATGCAAAGCATAATGTATCAGAAGATTCCTGATTCAACTGCTAGCTTGAAGTCGCCCCCTCCTTGTGTTCTGGAAAGATGGGGTGTTGTTTATCATCCACATATCAAAAAGTAAACAGAAAGCAGTATTTCCGAAACCTTTTCTTTATAAGGAGATCTTCATAAAACTTGCATTATTACCCTTGTTGGATCATAACACACCTGAGAAAGATTGGGTGGAGGAAGGTGAAGAAGGCTGGAAAAGATTTACAAGGGAATAAATCAAGAATCTGGTACAAATTGACTAATGGTATCTTCTGCATCAGCCCATTTCGAGTGAAAAGTCCCCCGTTTTAGAACTTTTGGCTCTTTGTTTTAATGCTCCCTCCTGAGAATTAACAAAAATTTTGATTACTCTGGGCACGCTACCTGATTAGCCCTGCTCCGCAAGGAGCAGTTATATATATATAATCACACACTCACACACACACATTTTTCAGGGAATCCTGCCTAATTTCTTCCGAAGTTCAGCTGTCTCAGTTCACACCAAACAAGTTACACGATTTCATAACGGATAGAGGACAGAAGCTTAAGGAGGGAGGGCCGAATGCACCGGGAACCCTAGTCAAGTGTAGGAAATCATCACGAGCGAGGCGAAGCAGGTCGTGGGAGACGAGACCTTCACTCAGGAACGGGGACGATGTGAATCGTGTTTCTATCGAGTGGCTGGGGGACCGGGTTGGGATCAGCCAGGAGGAGGTAGCCGCACAAGGCTTAGCTGGGTCTCCCGCGCAGACATCTCCTGGACAGCGACCCAGCGCCGCGCAGGCGCTCACGGCCCGGCTCCAGGGCTGCGGGTGGCGAGTCCCTGCCTGCCCGGAGCTCGCCCTCGGGGAAGGACGGACGCCTCGCGACGGCCGCGGACGCACCAGCGCAAGTGGTTCCTTGGAATCTCCCCATGTAATTCCACATGAGATTAAATTTTTAAAGCGCCTCATACTCGTGACCCATGGGTCAATGCCATCTAGCAACCATTCAGTGGCTGAATCCTCAGACAGGCACTCAGCATCCCCAGAGCCTAGGGGCATGCCATATGCCCCCACATAAAGATTTGTTGAATGAATGAAGGTGTCTAACTCCATTGTCTTGCCCTATTAAAGATGTATACTTTCTCTGCCTAGACCATTATGGTAATACCCTGACCTTCCTCATGATCTTTGCACTCAATTCTCAACTCTGTGCCCTATTGGAATGGTACTGAAATGCAAATTCAGTTACAGTCTCTCCTAAATTCATTTACCAGCAAACTTTGCTTACAGTGCTTAAACATTTTATCCTGACATTCAAAGCCCTTCCTAAAAAGCTGGCCTCTCTCGCAGCTTTACTCCTGGAATTCAATCCTATGCACACTCTCAGAAAACAAAATCATTGTTAATTCACCTTCAAAACCTGTTGTTTTATTCTTCTGAGACTTTGCAAATACCTTTGAGCAAGGCATCTTGATAGCTCCTCATTTTTAAATGTAACTGTGGATACCACCTTGAGTGGAGATGGAAAGAAAAGGGAAGCTGAAGGATAATGGATTGTAAAAATTCATGCTTTCTCATTCTTGTCTGGTTTGATAATCAGTGCCTAGAAAGGAGTCAAAGAAGGTTTTCTTTATATATGTTCTAAATAACACAAAACCTAGCTCCGCATTAAAGCCTTAGAATTAGTTTCTGGGATTAATTAAAAAAGCAGTCGACTTCAGACTGTCATATTCAGATTCCCACAGATGTTGCAGCCACAAGGCAGAATACTAACCACTATAGGATCATGACAGGCCACTGGGAAAAGCTGATGACTTCTACTTATTACAAATTTGTCATGCCAATTGCCTTTTCATCAAACCAGTAAGAGCTCAAAAGGGCATACTTTATGATTACAAAGTGGAAATAACTTTGCAAAATCTTCATGGGTAGACGAATCTTGCTTATTTTCACCTGTGGCTAATTATCTTGCTCATTCCAGAAAACCAGAAAGGCTCACAGCTTGCCATCTTATCTTGGTTTAAGAATTCTTTTTGAACTTACCCTGTGAAAGAAAACACACAGAAGAAAGCTTTCCCTCTGCATGTCACTGATTTCTGAACAGGAAAATACAAGAAAAGTATTATCATAACTGTAGACACTGGGTATAAACTGGGGGATCTAGATTGTCAGCTTTTCAAGAAGCTTATATTCTAGGGGAGAGATAGAAAATAAAACAATAATTTAATATGTTTTCCAATTTATTAAAAATTTTATTTAAAAGATGGAGAGAGAGACAGGACATTGATTCAGCTGGAGAGGTCAAAGAAGGGCTCTCTGAGACAGTGACATTTGAGTTGTGGCCTCAGTGTTGAAAATGAGTCCACTCTTCTGGGTCTGGAGCAAAAGTGGCGGAGTTCAGAGGCTGACAGCTGGGGTCTGGGCCTCTGTGGGCAGCCAGAAGATGAGCCAATAGAGTACCCCACTTACCAGACTGACGGCAGAGCCAAATATGAAAATGTTCTTTTTTCTCAAGCCTCGAGACTGCACACCAAAGTCCCAAGCAATCAAGGAAACTCCATTTCCAGTTCCTTGGTGTCTCTAAGGCATAGGCTCAAAGTGAAGCAGACTTTTCCCTGAGGTGAAATGCAGAGACAGTCCCACTGCTCAGCTCAGTGTGGATCATGACCTTCCTGCCCTTCCCTTCTAGCTCACCCTCACCAGATTCTGAGGACTGATGAGGAAGGAATTGCTTTACAGCATTTTCTGCTGAGCATTTATTGCATGATTAGGTCAATCTCCAGCTCACTGTGCACTTACAGAAAAAAAATCTACCAGGTTTCATGTGTGACCTTGAAAAATGTCCTCATTTCTTCTGTTTGTAATTTAGTAGGTTATCCAGAGGAATTTTCCCTGGATGTTATCACATTACACAGTAGACAGAGTACTGCAAAGGTGAGGCCCAAGGCAGATGGAAATAACCACAGTTAACTGCCTGCTGCCACATACACCGTATTCCTGATCTGCCTGTGAGACTTTTTTCTAAGGATTTAGTTTATGCCAAATGTTTCATTCCCTGACTCTGGCTTTCTCTCTGTCTGTCATCTCCAGTGTCAGATACCAGCCTTTCTTATTTTTGAGGCTAAATCTCCACATAAATCTCAGTCTCAATTAGCAAAAAGCTCTTCCCATCACCACTAAAATAACCTTATTTTGGGCCCAGAGTATGGGGAATGGATGTCTGCTCCAACCCTCTGTAATGCAGCCTGCGTTCTCTTGGTTTTCTTTACCTTTTACAGTCCTTTACTTGGAGTGTTAGTGAAATAATTGCCAAGCCCAACCTGTACATGCCCAATGAAGAAAGAACCAAAAACCCCAACATCCATTACTATCTACATTTGAACCTCTGAATAAGTGGAATAGTTCTTCTATTTATCAGACATTAATTCAGAATCTCTTTTGTGTCTGCCACCCAGGTTCAAAACTCCCAATTGCCCTTGACTTCTCCTCCCTCAAATCTTTATACTTAGGGTTTTTATAGATACTGTAGAGCCTTCTTATACAACCTCTCCAGAATATTCTTTTCTCATTTGTCTGTTCTTTCATCCATTCTACAACATTTATTTAGAGTGTATTTTGAATTAGGCGCTGATGATGAAGAAAGACTCATGCTGTTGACCTCAGGACCTGACAGAATAAATGAGGATGAACCTGGATCCTTAATTTTTTTAATAATTTATTTCGCTTTCTCTCCAATTCCAACCTCTTTAAACTTCACAACTAAAATCCTCTTCCTAAAATGTTGCTTCGATTACATAAGCCACCCGCCTGGAGTTAATCCTCTCCTCAATATATCTGCAAATGTCTAGGCTTTCCCAACACTATTTCCATCAATACGCATTTTACAAACATACACACACACACCCACCAATTAAATAGGTATGTCCCACAATACACACTGAAAGATTTCTATACCATCACTGTTCTTTCTGTCCTGTGTGCCATCTTCATCTTCATTTCTCAGCTATATCTATTTTTATTTCTTCTCTTTAATATGGCCTTGCCCCTTGCCACCTTTCTGTAATACATTTCTGGTTTTTTGCTATTCACTTATATGGTATGGTTATGTGACTACATATGAAATACATAAACAGGGATTGAAATTTAAGTTGTTATAAGTTTAAAATAGCCGGTTATAATTATATAATTATAAAATGTTTTAGGTAAACCTCACGATAACCACGAGACAAAAACCTATAGTAAATCCACAAAAGATAAAGAGAAACAAATAACAGCATACTACCACAGAAAATAATTGAATCACCAATCAAAACAGCAAGAGAGGAAGAAAGGAACAAAAAACCCTAAAAAACAACCAGAAAATACTTAACAAAATGTCAATACTATGTCCTTAACTGCCAATAATTGCCGTCATGTAAATGGATTAAATTCTTCAATACAAAGATATAGAATGGCTAACTGGATTATTAAAAATATATCCCAAAAAAGACCCAACTGTATGCTGCCTACAAGAAATTCACCTCACCTTTAAGGACACACAGATTGAAAGTGAAGAGATGGGAAAAGACATTCTGTGCAAATGGAAATGAAAAGAGAGCAGATATACTTATATCAGATAAAGTAGACTTAAAGTCAAAAATTGTGAAAAGAGAGAAAGGGGTCTTTATATTATGATAAAAAGGTCAATTCATCAACAGGATATAACAATTATCAATTTATATGCACCCAACATTAGAGCACCTAAATATAGAAAGCAAATATTCATAGATCTAAAGAAAGAGATAGACTGCAATAGAATAATATGAGGGGACTTCAGTCCCCCACTTTCAACTATGAACAGATCATCCAGAGAGAAAATCAATAGAAAATATTGGACTTGATATATACGTTAGACTAAATGGACCTAACAGACATATACAGAATATTCCACCCAACAACAGTAGAATGTCACTTCTATTTAACATGGTGCTGGAAGTCCTAGCCAGAATACACATTCTGGTCAGGTGCACATGAAACACTCTCCAGGACAGGCCATAGATAAGGCCACAACATGAGTCTTAACAAATTTGAGAAGACTGAAATCATATCAAGTATCCTTTCTGGCCACAATGGCATGAAACAAGAAATCAACAACAGGAGGAATTTTTGAAAATTCACAACTATGTGGAAATTAAACAACATGCTCCTGAACAACCAATGGGTCAAAGAAGAAATCATAAGGGAAATTGAAAAATTACTTTGGGACAAATGAAAATGGAAATACAATATACCAAAACTTACAGGATACAAGAGCAGTTCTAAGAGAGTTTTCATCAAAAAAGATGAAAGATCACAAATAGACTACCTAGCATCCATTACACCTCAAGGACTGGAAAAACAATCAACTAAGCTAGTTACAAAGTTAGTAGGAAGACGGAAATGATAAAGATCAGAAGAAGTAAACAGAAGATAGAAAAAATAAAGAGACCAACCAAACTAAGAATTTTTTTTAAAGGTAAATAAAATTTACAAACCTTTAGCTAGACTGATTAAGAAAAAAAATGCAAAGACTCAAATAAAATCAGAAATGTAATCAGAAATGAATTGAAGAGGTAACGACTGTTACCACAGAAATACAAAGGATTATTTAAAAACTACTATGAACAATTATATGCCAACAAATTGGATAACCTAAAAACTGGATAAATTCCTAGACACATGCAACTTGCAAGACAGAATCAGAAACTCTGAACAGAGCAAAAACAAGTAAGGAGATTAAATCAGTGATAAATCTACCATCAGAGAAAAGCCTAGGACCTGACAACTTCACTGCTGAATTTGATGAAACATTTAAAGAGGAAATACCAGTTCTTCTCGATCTCTTTCAAAAAACTGAAGTAGAGGAAATACTCCCAAACACATTTCACAAGGCCAGCATTACCGTGAACCCATTGCCTGAGGAGAGCACTACAAAGAAAAAAAAATTACAAACCAATATCCCTGATGAACATGTATGCAAATATACTCAACAAAATACTAGCGAATTGAATTCAACAGCACATTTAAACAATTATTTACCATGATCAAGCAGGATTTATCACAGGGATACAAAGATGGTTCAACTTATACAAATCTGTAAATGTGTGATCCACCGTATTAACAGAATGAAAGACAAAAACCATCTCATCATCTCAATAGATGCAGAGAAAGCATTTGACAAAATTTAACATTCCTTCATGATTAAAAACTCTCAAAAATTAGGTATAGAAGGAATGTACCTTAACACAATAGAGGCCTTTATAGGACAAACCCACATCTAACATCATACTCAGTGGGGAAAAAAATTGAAAGCTTTCCTTTTAAGATCAGGAATAAGACAAGGATATCCACTCTTGCCACTTCTATTTAACATAGTACTGGAAGTCCTAGCCAGAGCAATTAGGCAAGAGAAAGAAATAAAAGACATCCAAATTAGAAAGGAAGAAGTTAAATTGTCCCTGTTTGTAGATGACATAATCCTATATATAGAAAACCCTAAAAAACTCACCAAAAATCAAAACTGTTAGAAATAAAAAACAATTTCAGTACAGTTGCAGAATACAAAACAACATACAAAAATCAACATACAAAAGCTAGCATTTCTATACACTAATGGCAACCTAACCAAAATAAAAAATTTTAAAGATCCCATTTACAGTAGCTACAAAAAATACTTAGAAATAAATTTAACCAAGGAGGTGAAAGGTCTGTATACTGAAAACTATTAAACACTGATGAAAGAAATTGAGGAAGACACAAATGGAAAGATATCCTGTGTTTATAGATTGGAAGAATTAATATTATTAAAACATCCATACCCCCCCAAAGTGATCTACAGATTCAGCGCAATCTCTATCAAAATCCCAATGACATTTTTCACAGAAATAGAAAAAAAAAACCCTTAAAATTCATATGGAAGCACAAAAGGCCCCAAATAGCCAAAGCAATCTTGAGCAAAAACAAAACTGGAGGCATCATACTACCTGACTTTAAAAATATACTACAAATATATAGCAATCAAAACAGCATAGTACTGGTGGAAAAACAGACATATAAACCAGTGGAACAGAATAGAGAGGGCAGAAATAAATCCACACATTTATAGTCAATTAATTTTTGACAGACGTGCCTAGACACATAATGAGGAAAGGATAGTCTCTTCAATAAATGGTGTTGGGACAACTGGATATCTACATGCAGAAAAATGATAGGAGGCCCTTATCTCATACCACATACAAAAATCAACTAAAAATTGATTGAAGACAAACATAAGATGTGAGACTCTAAAACTTCTAGAAGAAAACATATGGGGAATGCTCCATAACATTGGTCTGTGCAATGATTTTTTGGATATGAACCCCCCCAAAAGCAAAAAGACAAAAATAGATAAATAAGATTACATGAAACTAAAGAACTTCTGCACAGCCCCCCCCAAAAAAAATCAACAGTGAAGAGACAACCGATAGATTGGGAGAAAATATTTGCAAACCATACTTCTGTAAGTGGTTGATATAAAAAATACATCAGGAACTCAACTCAATAGCAAGAAAACAAATAACCCAATTAAAACATGGAGAAAGGACCTTAATAGACATTTCTCAAAGGAAGACACATTGCCAACAGGCATATGAAAACTTGCTTAATGTCATTTATCATCAGGCACATGCAAATCAAAACCACACCTGTTAAAATGGCTGCTATCAAAAAGGCAAAAGATAACAGGTGTTGGCAAGAATGTGGAGAAAAGAGAATCCTTGTACGTTGTTGGTAGGAATGTAAATTAGTGCAGCTGTTTTGTACAGCAGTTCCTCAAAAAACTAAAAAGAGCACTATCATATGATCCAGCAATCCCACTTCTGGGTATATGTTCAAAAATCGGGCTATTGAAGAGATACCTGCACTCTCATGTTCATTGCAGAATTACTACTAAAGTAGCTGAATCAACCTAAGCGTCTATCAGCAGATGAATGGATAAAGAAAATATTACAACTGCACAATGAAATACTATTCAGTCTTTTAAAAAACAGAAATCCTGTCATTTTCGATGTCGATGAACCTGGAGGGCATTGTGTTAAGTGAAATAAGCCAGGCGCAGAAAGACAAATACTGCACGATCTCACTTAAATGTGAACTCTAATAAACGTCAAACTCATCAAAGCAGAGAGTAGAATGGTAGTTACCAGGGGCTAGGGGAGGAGATGGGAGGTAGGAATGGAATTAGAGAGATGTTTGTCAAAGGACACAAAATTTCAGTTAAACAGGAGGAATAAGGTCAGATCTACTGTGCCGTATGGTGACTACAGTTAATAATAAGTGTATTCTGTACTTTATAGTTGCTAAAAGAGTAGACTTAAGTGTTCCCATCACACACACACACTAAGTAATAGATACGTTAATTAGCTCGAGTTAACCATTCCACAATGTATGCATATATGAAAACATCATGTTGTACATCATAAATATATACATTTTGTACTTGTCAACTAAAAAAATTGTAAAAACCAGTATTTAATGCTCATCTCAAAATATAAAAAGCCTGTGATGCAAAGGGTTTCTATGGTGTAGTCGTTACCACGCTGGCCTAACACATGGAAGGTCCTCTATTTGAAACTCAACGGAAACAACAGGTTTCTCTGGTCTCCCAGAATCTGACCGGGAGTGGCCGCTTCTTCCCGGGAGTCCAGAGCTGCAAGGAACAAGTGATAATCCCGCCTCTTTTAAAAGAAAGATCGTCATCCTGGGATAGCTGTGCCAAATTAGCAGGCCGCTCTGGGCGGGCGCTCCCCAGCTGGGACGTGCTCGCTTCTCTCCCTGAAAATCTGGAACGTGAAATCTTACAGCACCAGACTTTTCCAGTGTCCACTTTCTCCTGGTTACGTTTTCCCCTCTCCCTCGCAGAGGAATAGCCATCATGCCCTTGCCCTTGGCCATTTTTGAGTAGACTCGCCTTAGGTCGAGTCCTGGTTCCCCACTAATAATCGAGACATTTCCTTTGTTCCGAGACGCAAGAAATGGTGGGTAGTCGCGCACATCTACTCCTGAATAAAGGAAAGGGCAGAAAGTTTTGCGGTAGGTGACGAGTGAGCGCAAGTGGTAGAGTACTCGCTTAGCATGTGAGAGGTAGTGGGATCGATGTTGTCACTTGGGGCCGCATGTCCATACAGTACAACGTGGAGAACGGCTTCATTAGTCACCTGTCGAAGAAAACGAGGAAGTACCAGCCATCTTGAATGCTTCACTGGTAAAAGACCTATGGGCATAAAGAAACAGTGCTAATAATAGCCCCTAAAACGTTCAGTGGACAGTACCCATTTTCTAAGTTGTTTTCTCTTTATTCAGAGGAAAGAGGAGATCCCAAGAGGGTGGGATATACCCAATTGTTCCTTTTCTCTCCTTCCTGCAGCTTGACCCAAAATGCCAAAATGCAGCACAGCTCTGGAAAATGCAGGGCAGAGCAGGATGAGTAAAACCCCAGCTTTCTTTCTGGTCAGGGCGCTGTAAAGTGGAGTTCCGAGTCACCGGGAAGTCCTGCTGAGAGTGTGGAAAGCAAACCCACAAGTGGTTTGTCAACTCACCGAGTGCACCCCTGAGTTGCGAATATGTAGCTGTAAAGAGCAAAACCAAATACAGAAAGCTTATTTTTTCCCAATTTAAAAACATGTTTTGTGATTCTACTTTAGACATCTTGAATAGGCAAATTCATGTAGACAGAAAGAATAGAGGTTGTTGGGGAGAGGGAAATGTGGAGTTATTGTTTAATGGGTACAGAGTTGCTGTTTGGGATGCTGAGAAACTTCTGGAAATGGGTAGTGGTGATAGTTGCTCACATTGTAAATGTACGTAATGCCACTAAATTGAACACTTAGAATTTTAAATGTAAAATGGGTTAAGTATATTTTACCACAATAAGAAAACACAAACTCTTGTTCATTCTGTAATTTAGCACATAGTCTCATCATCTGTTTTTCTCCACACCAGCTCATCTGTTCATCCTTCTATTCATTTGACAAATACTTAGAAATGTCTAGATTTATTGTTCCATTCATCAGACATTAATTCAGGATCTCTTGTGTGCCACAGTGTCAAGACTTCTCCCTCAAATGTTTACACCAATGTCTTGACAAATACCATAGATCTTTCCTGCACAGCCTCTCCAGAATGTTTTTCTTACCTTTCACTCATGTTTCTCTTGCCCATTCTACCACGTTTATGGAGGACGTAGTCTGCACCACAAAGTATAATGGGCACTGGAGCTACGGAAAGACTCATGCTGTTCACTTCAGAAGCTGACGGAATAAATGTGAATAAACCTCAATTCTTTAATCTATTTATAACTTCTTTCCATTTCTCTTCAATTACAGTCTTCCTGTTCCCAAGCTCTTTGACATCCAACACTAAACACCTTTTTCTTAAATGTTAATTTGGTTATGTAAGCTGTCTGCAATTTTTTCAAGGGTTCTTAAGTCTCAATGTTTTCCCAATCATTATCTCCATGTGCACAGGCATTTCAATCACTACTTCCTTTCATTTTATAAACAGGCACACACACAAGCAGGCACATATGCACTTGTGCACTACACATCCCAAGTGAACAGGCATGTTTCCTCACACAGGAATTCCTACATCTATGCCTGTTCCTTCAAACTCATGTGCATTCTTCCTCATCTGCATCCTTCAAGGTTCATATTTATCCCTTTACTACAAACTGATCTTTTAATCCCCATGGTTCTTGTCTGTAATACTTTTGTGATTTTTGCTGTTTTCTTATGTGATGTGAATATGTGAGTTCTATATGATGTAACTTAAAAAGACTTGAATATAAGTATGTGTATATATATATATATATAAATCTAACATAAATATATCCTATATATCTTAGAAATCTAAGATATATACATACCTTGAATATCTTAGATATATCTATCTTAGATTTAGGAAGTCTGAGGGTTTCCTCAGTGTAGTGTAGAGGTTATCTCACTCACTTGCCTAACACGAGATGAGGCCCTCAGATAGAAAGACAGATGTTATATAATTATAAAGCGTCTATTCACCGAAGGGACACAACTGTCCTAAATATGTCTGTTTCTGGCCACAGAGCTTCAAAACTTATGAACAAAATGGATAAACCAGAAAGAAAATAGAAAAATCCAATTACAGTTGCAGACGTTAACACTCCTCTCTCAGTAATTGATAGATTCAGGAGAAAACAAATCAGCAAACATTTTAGAGAACAGAACAACACCATCCACCAATGGATCTAATAGACTTTATAAAGCAAAATCACAATTTATGTAGAAAGGCGAGCCAAAAAAATCAAAGAAAAGCAAGATCATATTATAAGTAGGAAATCACGAATGGTCAGAGTGCAGAAAAGTGACATTATTGAAACTGATATTTCTGAAACAGTTACTTAAATAGCAGGAAGACCGATAACGGCGAATCTGTAAGTGAATCTTTCCTTGTCCATATGTATCCTGCTTTTTCTTGAGGTCTGGGCTGGCCAAATGTCTCCTGAAATTCCTGGGCCTACTACAGTGTCTGGCACAGAGCATCTCTCCAGCAAATATGTACTGAATGAGTAGAAAGGAACTGACGGATTCAGAAGAGACCTGCAAGAATAATGTTCAGTATTTGGCAAATCACTGAATGTGGTGTTTGAAGGAGGACAATGAGTCAAAGTTGACTTGGAAATCTAGGCCCAGGAGGAGGTTGAGAATTAGATATGTGGTATATGAATGAATGGACTACTGTGGAGAAAAACAGGCAGAGAGATAATGAGCAGGAGCAGAGAAAAGACTCACCTTTTGGAATCTAAAATAAATGTGCTTGTCAGTTCAGGCTTTGCCACCTAGCATCTCTGGCACCTTAGAAACAATAATTATCTGAGCCTCCAGTACATCTAGAAAGTGCACATTAGGATACATCGTTTTGTTAGCGAAATTCAACTGGACTACGTAAACGCAAGAAATCTCGTAGTATACTTAATAGCACACAAGAAAAAACAAAGGGGTAAAAAACAAAGAGGGTGCCATTATAAGTATTTTGTGTTTTTTTTTGTAGCGGCAATGTCTTCAGTCATGTAGATGCAAGTGGAGATATGAAGGAAGACAGTAGTATGATCAAGAGACAGGTTTGATGGCTATTTCTTCATTCATTTATCCAGGTGGTCAGTGAACTATCATGAACTGAGAACCTCCTGTCTCTTTTCAACAGAGGAGACTATGGAAAGTGTAAGAGTGACTAAGGTTTCTGAGGGAAGGAAAAGGGAAAAAGAGCAGCAAAAGACAGGTACAATTGATCCTGGTAACGCAGAACCCAGACGGTCCTATGAAATACTGGAAAGGCGTAGACTCCTCTGGTCGTGGGTATGGAATCTTCCTAGTGCAGCGTTGATTGATACAGAGTAATTTTCAAGTAGGATTGATTGTAGTTTTTGAAAGCTGAAACCGTAACGTAGGTGGGAAATACACTTCGACAAAATGGATGTTGCCCGAGCTCAACAGCAAGCCCTCTTAGCGCAGCTGGCAGCGCGTCAGTCTCATAATCTGAAGGTCCTGAGTTCAAGCCTCAGAGAGGGCATCACTTCTGCCAAAGAAGTTGGATACACTAAATATCGGAACGCAACGCAAATGCTATAGCAGATAAGGATTTGAAGACTGACCCAATATTTGTAGAAAATGGAAATATAATTTAGGTTTTCTTGTTTTTTCGACTTTCCAGTGGTTTGAGTAAAATGAGTGGTGAAAACAGAAGAGTAGATTACACCAGAAACTACAAGCTATGTCATATAATTGGTCTTTCTAGCTGACACAGGAAGCAGGGGAAATTTCTCTTCCAACTTCCCGCTCTCAGGGTCACCTCACACTAATTATTGGGTGGATGGGTGAAGTCATTTATTCTTTTAATCATCCAACAAATATTTCTTGAACACATATCTTGTTAAGAGACTGGGGTCAAGAGTGAATACAACGCAAACATTCCTACCACTGTGAAACTACATCCTACTTGGGAGGAGTGGGGTGAAAGTGTATTCAGCACAAATATTCCTACTATTGCGAAACTACATCATACTTGGGAGGAGTGGGGAGAAACAGACAGGAAACAATCAAAAATATGTAAGAAGTGATTTGACGATGTCTACTGTGAGGGAATCGCTAGGCAGTAAAGGGTTTGGGAATGTGGAGGTGGCACATTCAGCTTTCAGGAGGACAATCAGGGACTCTGTCACCTTGACAACTTTAGCCTTGCCTTCTTCTAGCCATCTTGCTGGAACACTTGTGCCCGTGTTTTTCTAACACTGTCATAAGAGTACTTTTACCTATCAAGGCAACTGGGGGTTAGGAGAGCTTTTTGCCCAGAAGGCTAGTTGGCTTCCTTGGAAAACTGATGATACATGAGGACTGGGGTTGTCAATCCCTCACATGTTTCTTCATATGAAAAATGAGGACTGTGGGATTCTCTGGCTGGATCTCAGCACCTAGAGATGGATCTGGGCAATAGGAACTGCTCAGTATTAGCTACCGCTTTGGTTGCCTTCTCCTTGTGGAAAGCTGGCCTCTCACACTGAATTTGTATCATAGGCACTCATGAGGGTCTTGACTACATCAATATCTGATGGGAGACTTTAGGGCAGTTCTGTTGTCGTAGCTGATTTGCTCATTTGGTAGCTAGCATCCAGCTTCTTGTGAACATTAAAATAAAATAAAATAAAATAATAAAATAAAATAAAATAAAATAGATTATGGAGGAATAGAATACAGATACATACTAAGGCATAATTTTCCAGACAAAATGGATTTGGATAAAAGAATCTAATTAAGAATTTGTGCATGGTTCTTTTAAAATTCCTTTGATTTTTTTTTTTTTTTTTGGCCTGTTTTTCAAGTGTCCAATTTTTGTCACCCTTCTCCCATCAGGTCAGAGAGATAGCCAATGGTCAGAAGCAATCTTCCAGCAACTGCCATAGCGCTTTCTCCTGCCTGCAGATGCCTCTTTTTAGTCAGCCTTTATGGGAAGTAGCAGCACCATCCGTTCCCAGAGAGCAAGCTCTGGAGTAGCTGAGCTAACCCCAGTTGCTAATCTGAGCTAATCCCAGTTACCCCAGTGGATTTACAGATTGAGGGTAGAACCCAGCAGGGTTCTCTTCTTGGAAAGAATAGGCTTCCCTCTAAGGTTTCACATAGATACTGGGTGAGGAAACAGCCCTAAATGGCTTCAGAAATTGAATGTTCTTTGGGCAAAGCAGGAAGCCCTGCTGTGGAAGAGCATCATTTGAGCATAAATCAGGTTATCAGGACAAACAGAGTGTTCAGGAGGTCTAGATGGTTAAGCAGAGAGCCTCATCAGAATATCCGTGGTGAAGAGAAACAATCTTGTTGGGAGAAGGATAACCGTAACTGGGGACTTAGAATAAAGGCTAAAAATGATTCAAAGAGAATGCAAAAAGAATCAGGCACAAATCTTTACTATATTCTGTTGTGCAAATCTCACCTTACTATGTGTTTATATTCTATTCCTCCACAATCTTTATTTTATTTTTATGTTCACAGAGACTTGCTGGTTCCAACTAAATGAGCACAACAGCCAGTGACAACAGAACTGCACTTAAATAGTCCCTCATCAGCTCTTGAGAGCAGATTCCTTAAAGGTGAACAATATTCCACATACAAGGACTTTTCAGCAGTATGCATTAGAAATGGAACTGAATGTTTATTATTCTTTATATAAGTTGGTTGATACGACTTTTCAGCTTCCCTCAGTAACATTATCTAAATTTTGTAGATGACAGTAAAGCTCAGAGGAGTTAAACCATTTTCCTCAAATCACGTAGCTTTAAACAGGAAAACCAGATATGAAAAGCAGATTTCTTTCTAAATTAAAAAACAAAAACAAAAAAACTTGAGCTCTTGCTTTACCCTAGCACATAGTCTCGCCATCTGTTTTCTCCACACCAGGTCATTCATGTAACATTCATTCACATAACAAATACAAATAAATGAGCGGATTCATTCATCAGATATTAATTCAGAATCTCTTTTGTGTCTACCACACTAGGCTCAAGACGTCCCAGTGTCTTTGTCTCCTCTCCCTCAAATCTCTCCACCCAATATCTTGACAAATAAAGTAGATCCTTCCTGTACAACGTCTCCAGAATCTTTTCTTCCTTTTCTTTCACCTCTGTCATCATTCATGCTACAGTGTTTACGGAGGATGTGTTCTGCAGCATGAAGTGTCGTGGGCACTAGCTCTGCAGAAAGACTTCTGCTGTCCACCTCAGGTGCTGACATGATAAATGTGGGTAAACCTCAATCCTTTAATATCTTTATGACTTCTTTCCCTTTCTCCCCAGTTCCTGTTTTCTCATGTTCAAGCTCTGACATTCAAAACTAAACACCTTTCTCTAACATGTTGCTTTAATTATTTAAGCATTCTGCCTGGGATATTTTCAGTTAGTCATGGGATTTTTCATAAAACTCTCCCAATATATCTCCAAGTGGCCAGGCTTTTCAATCACTGCTTCCCTCCATGTGTATTTCACACACACACACACACACACACACACACACTCTCCACTTAAATTGAACAGGTTTATTTCTTTACACAAGAATTCTTACAAACAGCCCGGTTTTCTCCACCATATGTCCACTCCTTCTCTGCATAGCTCAATTTTGATTCTTACACTATATTTTACATATTCTTACACTCTGATACGATCTTGTCTCTTATTCTTTATGGCTCTGCTCTGTAATTTTGTTGTTGTTGTTCTGAAATATAGTTGGACATGTAACTTGTACATGACACACCTTAGCAAGGAGGCAACTCATATCTCAGATGTAAGTGAAAGAAGCACTCTCCAGGGGTTTCCTATGGGAGTGGTCAGCACGCTGGCCTCATTGGTGGAATGGCCTAGTTACGAAAACAGCAGGAGCTTTTTGCCTTCCAGAAATCTGGACCATCTCACAACCCCCAGACAGTCTCAGCTACAAGGAAAAGTGATAATTCCATCCCACTTTTATAAACACACACAAACACACACACACACACACACACACACACACACACACACACACACACAATCATTTAATCATTTTTAATCATTTAATCATTTTTTTAAAATCTCTGACACTTTAGCTGGGCAGGTCTAGACATGTCCTCCTTTGCTGGGATGTGCCTTTTTCTGTCCCGGAATACCCTAAACTTGACATTTTGGCAGCACGAGTTTTCCCTTTGTGACTTTCTCCTTGTTCCCTTTCTCCTCCTTCTTTGCAGAGAATGAGTAGCCACTGCGCCTTGCCCTGGGCCATCAGTGAGAAGACCTGCTCTTAGTAGAGCCCTGCTTTCCCGCTGAAGGCCTTGAAATCCCCTGTGTTCCAGGACACCCACTAAAGATCAAGAAAGCTCCCCTGACGTGGGGAATTAGCTCAAGCGGTAGAGCGCTTGCTTAGCATGCAAGAGGTAGTGGGATCGATGCCCACATTCTCCAAGCTTTATTATTTGGACCTTGGGTCTCCAAACACTCAAGTATCCAAACCCAAGTTAGTGTCTGAGAGCAGGATGCTGCTTTGGTTCAAGACATAGGAGCAGCAACAATACAGGCCTGGTGATGGCTCCCTCCTGGCATTCAGTATAGTGTAGATCTACTGTGTAATTCATTTGCTGTTTCCTCAAGGAGCTGTGAAACCAAGGGACATATACAACTGCTCTTTTCTCCCTGTTTCTGCCTGCAGCTTGGTCCTAAACCTCAGACAATCGTGAAATGTGCAGGGCAGAGCCACCTGGGTAAACACAGCCTCGGCTTTCTGCTCAGGGGACTGAAACCAGGATGTGTCAAGTAACTAGAATGTGCCTGGACAGATACTGTAGAAAGCAAACCCATAAAGTTGTTCATGAGCTTGTGGACACACCTGCCAGCTGTGAATAAGTGGCTCTAATCCCAAACAACTTACCTACAAAGAGCCTGAGAGCTGAACTGCGCAATGGCCCACTTTCCAGTCCTCACTGAAGTTGCACACACTCCGGAAATCTCTGAACAGTGGCGTAAAGGCTTTGCAAATAGAGTTATCTTTGAAACAACAACACGTGGAAGGCTGGTTGGTACTTGGAACTTGAATACAAGGCAATTTTGTGCCTGCAAAAACAAAAATAGCAATATTATTCTTAAGATTTCAACAAAACACAGTGTCTCATCACATAATCCAAAGAAGTCCAGGTTACAAGCCCCAAAATCTTCGGCATTATGAAAAAAACAGGGAGATCTTCATTCACATGGCAAAGAGACTCCTCGAATAACAATACTGAGAGGACACAGATGTCAAAATCATCTGACGCATACAGTGGAGCAGTTATGATAACAATGCTCCTAGAATTAGGGGATAACATTCGTGAAGTGAATGGAAAGTTGGAAAGTCTCAGCAAATATCTGGAATATATAAACACCAATTTTAAGCTTAAGAATTTAAAAAAATGTATTAACCAAAACTCTTAGGGGAAATAAAAAGCTTAACTGGATGATCTCGATAACAGAATGCAGATGACTAAGAAAAAGTCAACGAACTTGAAAACAGAACAAGAATACCTACATAATCTGAGCTATAGAGAGAAAGGAGTATTTCTGTAAATGAACAGAGGCTCAGGGACAAATTAAAAAATAGCAAATCTAACATTCACATTATTGTAATCTGAAAAGAAGAGGACAAAGAGGTCTTTGTGGGATAAAACTTTGAAGAATTAATGGCTGAAAATGTATCAAATTTGTCAAAAGATATAAACCAGGTTTTTAAAGTTCAGCAAAGGTCAAGCAGGATAAACCCAAAGAAACCCAACCCATTTCAAGACGTATCATAATCAAACTGCTGAAAACGAGGAAAGTACAAAACAATCTTGAAAGCAGTCAAAGGAAAATGAAAAAGAAACTACCATATGAATGAGTGTAGATTTCTCATCAGGAACCATAGCGGCCAGAAAAAAATGTCATAATGTTCAGTAAGTAACAAAAGAAAAAGACCTATCAACCCAGAATGCTATGTGGAGCAAAAGTATCTTTCAGACATAAAGGCAAATAAATGCATTCTCATTGGAAGGTAAGTCAATACATTCTCATTCTTAGCAAGAATGCTGGAAAAGAATTAGCAAAGATTTGAGATAAGAAAAGTGATACCAGAAGGAAACTTAGAACATCGTCAATGAAGGAACGAAAGCAGAAATAGAAAATGTCTGGGTAGACATAACAGACTGTTCTTCTTCTCCTGAGTTCCTTAAGGTATGTTTGATGATTGAAAGCCAAAATTGTAACTTTATCAGAAGCAGTTGTCATTGTATCGAGATGTACTACATAGATAAGATAAAAGGGTAAGTGTAATGGGCCTAACTCTTGATGAAGTTTCTATATTCAACTTGAATGGTAAAATATTGATTCTAAGTATACTGTGAAAAGTTATATACGTATATGGTAATCCCTAGACCACTTACTAACCAGATTGAAATAAACCAAAACAAGATAGACAGAGGAACATAGAAGAATTAAAACAAAGGGAACAAAGGTTAATACATTATTAAATAGATCTATCTAAAAACTTATCTATATTAACATTACACGTAAATGATCTAAATCCTTAATTAAAAACTAGAGATCATCAGAATGTATTAAAAGTAAATATGCTGACTGTAAGAAAGCCACCTGCAATACACTTATATATCAGAATAAAAGTTATATAGCAGATTGAAGGAAAAGAGTGGGAAAGATACCTCATGCAAGCATTAATCAAAGACAGCTGTGGTGTATACATTAAAATCAGACAAAGTAGATTTGAAAGCAGAGAAACTTTTCAGGAATAATGAAGGCTGCTAGATAATTACGAATGTCCATTCTCCAGGGAATACTGTTCCAAATGTATATGAGGACACAGATTTTCAAAACTCATAAACAAAATTAGATAAGCCAGGTAAAAATAGAAATATCCAATTTTAGTTGAAGACACTAAAACTCCTCTCTCAGTCATTGGTAGACTTAGTAGACAACAAATCAGCCAACATATTGGAGAACTGAACCACACCATCCACCAATGGATCTGATCAACTTCATAACGCAAAATAAAAATTTAGCCAGAAAGCAAAGACAAAAATTAAAAGAAAAGTAAGATCATGTTATAACCAGGAAATTAAGAGTGGTCCATCATATAGAAGGGTGCTATTATTGAAAGAGTTTGAAATAGTGACTTAGTTATTTTGAAAGAGTTTTGAAGGCATTATTTAGCTGGAAATGACAGAAAGACTGAAAATGGTGAATCTGGAGGTGGATCTTCCCTCATCTATATTTATCTTGTTTTCTTTTGAGGTCTAGGGTGTCTATACTTCCTCTGAATTACCTGATCCTACTACAGTGTCTGGCACAGAGCATCTCCCCAGTGAATATGTACTAAATGAGTGGAAAGTAATTGATAGATTCAAAAGAGTTGTGCAAGAATAATGTTCATTATTTGGCAAATCATTGAATGTGGTGTTTGATGGAAGACAATGAATCAAAGTTGACTTGAAAGGTAAGCCCAAGGCCAGACGTGGTGGCTCATTTCTGTAATCCCAGCACTTTGGGAGGCCGAGGTGGGCAGATCCCTTGACGCCAGGAGTTTGAGACCAGCCTGGGCAACCCAGTGAAATCCTGTCTCTACAAAAAAAAACAAAAATTAGCCGGGTGTGGTGGTATGCATCTGTAGTTCCAGCTACTCAGGAGGCTGAGGTGGGAGCATCACTGGAACCCGGGAGGCGGAGGTTGCAGTGAACAGAGATCACACCAGTGCCCTGGCAGTAAAGTGACACCTTGTCTTAAAATGAAATGAAATGAAATGAAATAAAATAAAATAAAATAAATAAAATAAAATAAAATAAAATAAAATAAAATATAAAAGTTAAGCCCAGGCCGGGCGCAGTGGCTCGCACCTGTAATCCCAGCACTTTGGGAGACCAAGGCAGGCAGATCACCTGAGGTCAGGAGTTTGAGACCAGCCTGGCCAACATGGTGGAACCCCGTCTCTACTAAAAATTCAAAAACTAGCGGGGCACCTGTAGTCCTAGCTACTCGGGAGGCTGAGGCAGAAGAATCACTTGAACCCAGGAGGCAGAGGTTGCAGTGAGCCAAGATTGTGCCACTACACTGCAGCCTGGGCAACAGAGTGAGACTCCAACTCAAAAAAATTTTTAAAAAAAATTTTTAAAAAGTTAAGCCCAAAAGGTAAGTAAAGAGGAGGTCTGGAATTAGATATTTGGTGTATGAGTGAATGAGCTAAAGTGCAAAAGAATGGGCAGAATAACCGTGAGCTGGAGCAGAGGGAAAAAAATCACATGCAAAATCTAAAAATATCTGCTTCTCAATTCGGGCTTTCCCACTTAGCAGCTTTGGCATTTAAAAAAAAAAAAAAAAAAAAAAACACTTGACCGGGCACGGTGGCTCACGCCTGTAATCCCAGCACTTTGGGAGGCCGAGGCGGGCGGATCAGGAGGTCAAGAGATAGAGACCATTCTGGCTAACACGGTGAAACCCTGTCTCTACTGAAAAAATACAAAAAAATTAGCCGGGCATGGTGGCGGGTGCCTGTAGTCCCAGCTACTCGGGAGGCTGAGGCAGGAGAATGGCCTGAACCTGGGAGGCGGAGCTTGCAGTGAGCCCAGATCGGGCCACTGCACTCCAGCCTGGGAGACAGAGCGAGACTCCGTCTCACAGAACAAACAAACAACAAACAACAACAACAAAAACGCACTTAGCCTATCTGATTCTCTATTACTTCTAAAAAGTGCATACTAAGGCATAATTTTGTTGGCAAAAGTCAATCAGACTACATCAAGTAAACTCCCTAAGTCTCCTAGTATAATTCACGGCACAAAAATATGAGGAAAAACAGGGAGGATATGATTAAAAGTTTAGTTTGTATTTTTTGTTGAGTGAATGTCTCCAGTCATAGAGATGCAAGTGTAGATACACAGTAAGAGTAGTATGAATGGCAGACACCTTGGAAGGCTATTTCTTCCTTCATTCATTCAGTTGGTCACTCAATGAACTATCATGAATTGAGCACTACCTCTGTTTCTTATCAACAAAGGAGACTACGGAAAGGAAGAATGACTAAGATCTCTGAAGAAGGGAAAAGCTAGATGACTGGGCCACAAGAGGAAAAAAAGCAGCAAGACAGGTACAATTGTGTCTGGTCCCTCAAGCCAGAAGGTCCTATCATTATGTGAATACTGGAAACGGGTGGACTCCACCTGTCCTGAGTGGGGAATTCTTCCAGTGCAGCATTGACTGATAAGGAGTGATTTCCAAGTAGCATTGATTGTGTTCTTTAAAAGCTAGGAATTGATAAAGCAGCAGTGCGTGGGAAATGAGATTTAATAATCTGGATGTCACCTCTTAGGAACAGTTGCTCTCTTAGAGCAGCAGGCCACCTGTCAATCTCGTATTCTGAAGGTCCTGAGTTTGAACATGAGACAAGGCACAGCTTATGCCGCTATTTCCATTAAGAGAAATGAAATAGGTGTGATAAATAATGGAACACAAATGCTATGAGATAATGATTTCAAGACAGACCAAATATTAGCTTAAAATTTAAAAGTGAGTTTTCTTTTCTTTTCTTTCTTTCTTTTTCTCTTTCTTTCTTTCTTTCTTTCTTTCTTTCTTCCTTGCTTCCTTCCTTCCTTCTTTCCTTCCTTCCTTCCTTCCTTCTTTCCTTTCCTTTCTCTGTCTGTCTTTATTTATTTTTTCCTTCTTTTGGCTTCTCAGTCGCTTGAGTACAAGGCGTGGTGAAGGCATATAAATTACACCAGAAACTGCAAGCTATGTCTTATGTCTACCTCTCTAGCTGACAGGGGAGGCAGGGGAAATTTCTCTTCCAATTGCCTGCTCTGAAGGTCATCCAAACATAATTATGGGGTGGGGTGGGTAAAGTCTTTTATTCTTTTAAGCGTCCAACCGATAGTTCTCAACACATATCTTGTTAAGAGACTGTTTTGGGTATAGCAATTCGCAGTGAATAAAATACAGATATTCTCACCTTTGTGATACTACGTCAATGTTGGGGGGAGTGGGGAGAAAGAGACAGAAGCAAAAAAGAAAAATAAACAAGAAGTCATGTGATATTATCTACTGGGAGGGAGTCATTAGGCAGTAAAGGACTCGGCAGTGTGGAGGTGACACATTCACTTTTCAGGAGAAGAATCAGGGAAGTTGTCACCTTGAAGATATCATTTAGCTTCCCTTTCTTCCAATAGTCTTTCTTTACATGGGAAATGAGGACTCTAGGATTCTCCGGCTGGATCTCAGCACCTAGAGATGGATCTGGGCAATAGGAACTGCTCAGTAAGCATTACCTACTGCTTTGGTTGCCTTCTCCCTGGCCTCTTGGATTGAGCTTGCATCATACGTGTTCAGTAGGAACTTGCTTAGTGGATTTACAGGTTGAGGTTAGAACTCACCGGGATTCTCTTCCTGGAGAGAACAGGCTTCCCTCTAAGGTTTCATATAGACCCCGGGTGAGGAAAGAGCCCTAAATGGCTTGAAAAATTGAATGCTCTTTGGGCAAAGCAAGAAGCGCCACTATGGAAGGGCATCATTTGGGCCTATATCAGGGTCTCAGTACAAAGATGAGTGCTCACGTGGTCAAGATGGTTAAGCAGAGAATCTGACCAGAATGTTCACGGTGCAAAGAAATAATCTTGTTGGGAGAAGGATCACAACAATTGGGGAATTAGAATACAGGCTAAATGAGACTCAAAAATAATACAACAAGAATCAGGCACAAATCCTTTACTACTACATTCTTTTGTACAAATCCATTTTGCCTAGAAAATCATACCTTACTATGCATCCCTATTGTGTTTCTCCACCATCTATTTTACTTTTTAAACTTTATTTCATTTTTATCATCACAGAAGCTTATTGCTACAAAACAAATGAGCAAATCAGCCAATGGCAACAAAACTGCACTGATCTCTCTCCTTAGACCTTCAGAACATTTTCCTTAAAGGTGAACAATACTCCACGTTCAAGAATTTTTCAGCTCTATGTGCTAGAAACTATACTGACTGTTTATTAATTTTTATGTAAGTTGGTCGATATAGTTTTTCAGCTTCCCCAAGTATTATTACCCTAGTGTTACAGATGACACTGAAGCTCAGAGCAGTTAAACCATTTTCCTTAGATCACATAACTTTAAAGAGGGAAACCAGATATGAGAAGCAGATTTCTTTCTCAATGAAAAAAATCACAAGCTCTTGCTTTAGTCTAGCACATAGTCTTATCATCTATTTTCTTCACACCAGCTCACTCATGTAACATTCATTCATTTACCAAATACAGATAAATGAGTGGATTTATTCTTGCATCGATCAGATATGAATTCAAAATCTCTTCTGTGTCTGCCACACCGGGCTCAAGACTTGCCAGTGCCTTTGTCTCCTCTCCCTCAAATCTCTCCACCCAATGTCTTGACAAATACTGTAGATCCTTCCTGCATAAACTCTGCAGAATCTTTTTCTTCTGTTTTACTCACCTCCTTCTTTATCCATGCTATGATGTTCATGGAGGATGTTTTCTTCACCATGAAGTGTGAAGGGGATTGAAGCTGCAGAAAGACTCATGCTGTTCACCTCAGGAACTGACACAGTCAATGTGGATAAATCTCAATCCTTTAATATCTTTATGACTTCTTTCTCTTTCTCCCCAGATCCAGTTTTTCCATTTTCAAGTTCTTTGACATTTAAAACTAAAAACCTTTCCCTAAAATGCTGCTTTTCTACCTGGAATTTTTTCAATGAGTCTTTAGCTTTTATAATATTCTCCCAACATATCTCCAAGCATCCAGGCTTTTCAATCACTACTTCCCTCCGTGTATATTTTACACACACACACACACACACACACACACACACACTCCACTTAAATTGAACAGGCATATTTCTTTACACAGGAATTCCTACAAACATTCCACCCTATACCTACCCTAGGTTTTCTCCACCCTATGTCCACTCTTTCTCTGCATTGCTGAATGTGTTTTCTTTATTCTTTCACTCTGATATGATCTTTGTCTCTTATTCTTTATGCCTCTTATCTGCATTTTTTTGTTATTATTGTTCTGCCATGCAGTTGGATATGTAACTTTTACATGACACACCTTAGCAAGAAGACAACACATGTCTCAGATGTAAGTAAGAAAAACACTCTCCAGGGATTTCCTGGTGTAGTGCTCAGCACCCTGGCCTCATTCCTGAAAGTCCCTCGGTGTGGAAAAAGCAGGAGCTCTTTGCCTTCCAGAAATCTGCATCATCCCACAGCCTCAGCTACAAGAAACAAGTGACAATGCCATCTCTTTTCTTTTAAAAAAATCATTTAAGCTTCCTGAGATATCTGTGACACATTAGCTGGGCAGGGTCCTTCTGTGGGACATGTCATTTTCCGTCTCGGAATATGTGAAACTTGACATTTTGGCAACACCAGAGTTTTCCCTTTGTGACTTTCTCCTTGTTCCCTTTTCTCCTCCCTCCTCACAGAGAATAAGTACCCACTGCACTCTTGCCCTGGGCCATCAATGAGAAGATCTGCTCTTAGTGGAGCCCTGCTTTCGCGGTGAAGGCCTTGAAGTCGCGTGTGTTCTAGACTGCCCACTAAGGATGAAAAAAGATGCTGTGAGATGAAGAAGTAGCTCAAGTGGTGGAGTGCTCGCTTAGCATGTGAGAGGTAGTGGGATTGATGCCCACATTCTCCAGGTTTCACTAGTCGGACCTCAGGTCTCCAGGTTACAGTGGAAAAAAATATGTGTTAGACACTGATCTCAGAAAACAGTAAGTTAGACACTCATCTCAGTAGCAGCCTGGACACTTCTTTGGCTCATTATGTAAGGGCAGCAACAATACGGGCTTGACTAAGATTCTACTGGTATGTGGTATAGTATAGATCTATCGATGTGTAATTAGTTTTCTGTTTCTTTGAGGAGCTGTGATACAAAGGGACATATCCAGTTGCACTTATTCTCCCTGTTTCCTCCTGCAGCTTGGTCCTAAATGCAGCATAATTATGGAAAGCGCAGGGCAGAGCCACTCAGGTAAATACAGCCCCAGCTTTCTGATCGGGAGACCGAAACTAGGAGTTGCCAAGTAACCAGGAAAGACACTGTGGAGAGCAAACCTGTCAAGTTGTATGTGAACTCCTGGATGCGCCTGTGAGCTGTGAATAAGTGGCTCTGATCAAAGACAACTTATCTAAAAAGAGCCTGAGAATCGAACTAAGTGATAGCCTACTTTCCAGTCCTCACTGGCCACTGGGTTGCACATACTCCAGAGTCTCTGAATAGCAGTGTTAAGGCTTTGAAAATAGAATCGACTTTGAAACTACAACACACAAGGCTGGCTGGTTATTGGAACTTGAACACAAGGCAATCACATGCCTGCAAAAACAAAAATAGCAATATTATCCTTAAGATTTCAACAAGACACAGTGTCTCATCACATAATGCAAAGTACAACCCCAAAATATTCAGCATATGAAGAACCAGGGCAATCTTAATTCACTTGGCAAAGAGAATCCTCGAATAACAATACTGAGAAGACACAGATGTTACAATCATCTGACACATACTTTTAAGCAGTTATTACAACAATGCTCCATGAATGAAAGGATAACACTCTTGAAGTGAATGGAAAGTTGGGAAGTCTTAGCAAGTATCTGGAAGCTCTAAACACTGATTTTAAACTTAAAAATTAAAAAATGTATTCATCAAAACTATTAGGAGAAAAAAAACTTCAATGGGTTATTTCAATAACAAAATTGAGACACTCAGAATAAAGTCAATGAACTTGAAAACAGAACAAAAATACCAACCTAACCTGAACAATAGAGAAAAAGGAGTGCTTTTGCAAATGAACAGAGCCTCCCGGACAAACAGAAAAATAAGAAAAATCTAACACATCATTGTAATCCTGCAGGAAGAAGAGAAAGAGGTCCTCCAGAAAGAAAACTCCGAAGAATTAATGGCTGAAAACATATCAAATTTATCAAAACACTTTAGAAGTTCAATAAATGTCAAGTAGGTTAAACCCAAAGAAATCCATACCCAGACACATCATAATCAAACTGCTGAAAACTAAGGAAAACCATAAAAATCTTGAAGGCAGCCAAATGAAAATAAAAGGGAAACTGCCACTTGAATGACTGTGGACTTCTCATCAGAAACCATAGGGGCCCAAGGAAACATTTACTAAATACCAAAAGAAAAGACCTGTCAACCCAGAATGCTATGTAGAGCAAAAATATCTTTCAGACTAAAGGTAAATAAATACATTCTCACAGGAAGGTAAACTGAGAGAATTCATTGCTGGTAGAACTGCTGGACAAGAATTAGCAACGATTTAAGATGAGAAAAATGATACCAGAAAGAGACAGGACACCATCAGTGAAGGAACGAAAGCCGAAATAGAAAATGTCTGGGTAGACATTACAGACTATTATTCTTCTCTTGAGTTCCTTAAGGTATGTTTCATGATTGAAAGCAAAAATTGTAACTTTATCTGATGCAGTTGCCATTGTATCTAGATGTGCTACATACATAACATAAAAGGGTAAAGGTAAAGGGCCTAACTGCTGATGAAGTTTCTATATTCAACTTGAATGGTAAAATATTGATTCTACGTATACTGTGAAAGGTTATATATGTATATGGTGATCCCTAGACCACTTAGGAACCAGATTTAAATAAACCAAAATAAACTAGGAAGAAGAACATAGAAGAATTAAGACAAGGGGAACAAATGATTAATAAATTATTAAAAAGTAGATCTATCGGCTGGGCACGGCGTCTCACGCCTGTAATCCCAGCACTTTGGGAGGCCGAGGTGGCTGGATCACCTGATGTCAGGAGTTTGAGACCAGCCTGGCCAGCATGGTGAAACCCTGTCTCTACTAAAAATACAAAAAATTAGCCAGGCATGAAGCCGGGTGCCTGTAATCCCAGCTACTTGGGAGGCTGAGACAGGAGAATCACTTGAACCTGGGAGGCAGAGGTTGCAGTGAGGGGAGATTGCACCATGGCACTCCAGCCTGGGTGGCAAGAGCAAGACTCCATCTCAGAAAGAAAAACAATAGATCTACCTAAAAACTTATCTATAAAAACATTAAATGTAAATGATCTAAAACAATGAATTGAAAACCAGAAATTGTCAGAATGTATTATAAATGAATATGCTGACTACAGGAAAGTCACTAGTAATATACTTATATGTGAGATTAAAAGTTATATAGCATATTGAAAGTAAAGAATGGGAAAAGATATGTCATTTAGGCATTACTCAAAGAAAGCTGTGGTGGATATATTCAAATCAGACAAACCAGATTTTAAATTGTAGAAAACTTCCAGGGATAAAGGGGGCTGTTACATAATTAGAGGTGCCAACACACCAGAGAAATAATGTCCCAAATGCATATAAGGACACAGGGCTTCAAAACTCGTAAGCAAAATTGGATAATCCAGATAAAAATAGAAAAATCCAATTACATTTGCAGACGTTAACAGTCCCCTCTCAGTAACTGATAGATCCAGTAGACAATAAATCAGTAAACACATTTGAGACCCGAACAACATCCATACAGCAATGGATCTAATCAATCAACTTTCTACAGCAAAATCACAATTTGGGTAGAAAGAAGAGAAAAAAAATAAAAGAAAAACAAGATCATGCTATAACTAGGAAATCAGGAATGTTCAGGGTGCAAAAGAGTGATATATTGAAACTGACATTTTTGAAAGGGTTATTTAGCTGTAAATGACATGACACGGAGACTGAAATCGTAAAACTGGACGTGGATCTTCCCTTCTCCATATTTGTCCTGCCTTCTCTTGAGGTCTGGGCTGCTTGAATCTTTAGAATCTCCTGAACTTACCACAGTGTCTGGCACAGAGCATCTTCCCTGTGAATGTGTACTGAATCAATGGAAAGGAATTGACAGGTTCAAAAATGTTGTGCAGGAATAATGTTTACTATTTCACAAATCACTGGATGTGGTGTTTGAAGGAGAAAAATGTGTCAAAAGTTGACTTGGAAACAAAGCCCAAAAGGTAAGTGAAGGGGATTTGGGGAATGAGATATTTGGTGTGTGAATGAATGGGGTGCTGTGGAGAGGAGTAGGGAGTAAGATTGTGAACTGGAGCAGAGAAAGAATCACGTTTTAAAATCTAAAACATCTTCTCCTCAGTTCAAGCTTTGACACTTAGCAGCTCTGGCACCTTGGAAACAAAACTTATCTGAGGTTCCATTACTTCTAGAAAGTCCAGATTAGGACACATAGTTTTGTTGGTGAAACTCTGTTGGACTACATGAAGTAAATTCAATAAATCTCTTAGTATAATTAATGGCATACAAGATTTGCTTTACACTTTTTGTAGCAGGATTGTCTCCAGTCGTGTAGATGCAAGAGGAGATAGAGAGTAAGACACAGTAGTATGGACAGGAGACACCTTTAAAGACTATTTTTTCATTCCTTCATTCGTTCAGTTGGTCAGTCAGTGAACTATTATGGACTGAACATGTCCTGTGTGTCTTTTCAAAAAAGGACACCATAGGAGGTGTAAGAGTGATTAAGATCTCTGAAGGAGGGAGAAGTCAGATCACTGGGCCACAAGAGGGAAAAAGTCAGCAAAACAGGTACAATTGTTCTTGGCCTCTTGCCTCAAGATGGTCGTCTTGTTAGATGAATACTAGAAATGGGTAGATTCCACCTGTCCTGAGGATAAAATTCTTTGGGTGCAGGATTGGCTGATAAAGAGTGATTTCCAAGCACCATTGATTGTGTTCTTTGAAAGTTAGGAACTGATAAAGCAGCAGTGCTTGGGAAAATAGCACGTGGGATGTCAATTCTTGGGTGAGAACCGCCCTCTTTCTGCAGCAGGCCACACATCAATCTCATAATCTAAAGGTTTTGAGTTTGAACATCAGAGAGGATACAGTTTTTGCTGCTATTTCAGTTGAGGGAAACAAAATGGGTGCACTAAATAATGAAATGCAAATGCTATGAGATAACAGTTTGAAGACTGACTCAACATTAGCTTAGAATGGAAAAGTGATTTCGGTTTTTTGGAGTTTTTTTGTTGTTGTTTGTTTGTTTTTTGGCTTGTCAGTGGTTTGAGTAAAATGAGTGGTAAAGGGATATAGATTACAGAAGAAACTGCAAGCTATATCATATAATTGGTCTTTCTCACTAGCTGATGGAAGAAACAGGAAATTTTTTGTCGAGCTTTCTGCTCTCAAGGTTACCCAATTGTAATTATGAGGTGAGTGGGTGAAGTCATTTATTCTTTTATCCTACATGTATTTCTCGAGCACGTATCTTGTTAAGAGACTGTTCGGGGTACAGCCATTCAACAGTGAAAAAACGCATATATTCTTCACCTTTGCGAAGCTAGTTTCTAGTTGATAGGGGTGAAGAGAAACAGATCAGAAGCAAACAAGAAAAATACATAAGATGTTATGTGACAACGTCTACTGGGAAGGAACCCACAGGCAGTAAGGGACTTGGGAGTGTGGAGATGGCCCATTCAGAAGCTTTTAGGAGCGGAATCTGAGAAGTTGTCACCTTGAAGACATCCTTTACCCACCCTCCACCCCCTCCCCACTCCCCACTCCTGCTCCTTCCTTCAATCATCTTTCTTCACGTAGGAAATGAGGACTGTGGGATTCTCTGGCTGGATCCCAGCACCTAGAGAGGGATCTGATCAATAAGAACTGCTCAGTAAGCATTACCTATTGCTTTGGTTGCCTTCCCCTTGCAGAGTGCTGGCCTCTTGGATTGAGCTTGCATCATAGGTGTTCAGTAGGAGCTTGCTTAGTGGATTTACAGGTTGAGGTTAGAACCCACCGGGATTCTCTTCCTGGAAAGAACAGGCTTCCCTCTAAGGTTTCACATAGACCCCGAGTGAGGAAAGAGCCCTAAATTGCTTGAAAAATTGATTGCTCTTTGGGCAAAACAAGAAACCCTCCTATGGAAGGGCATCATTTGGGCATATATCGGGGTCTCAGTACAAAGATGAGTGCTCAAGAGGTCAAGATGCTTAAGCAGAGAATTTCACCAGAATGTTCGTGGTACAGAGAAACAGTCTTGTTGGGAGAAGGATGACAATTGAGGCCTTGGAATATAAGCTAAATAAGCTTCAAAGGGGATACAAAAAAGAATCAGGCACAAATCCTTTACTACATTATTTTGTACAGCTCAATTTTTGCCTAGAAAATCATACCTTACTTTGCATCCCTATTGTGTTCCTCCACCATCTATTTTGTTTTTTTAAGCGTTATTTCATTTTTATGTTCACAGAAGCTTGTTGCTACAACTAAATGAGCAAAACAGCCAGTAGCAACAGAAATGCGTTACTATCTCTCCTCAGACCTTGAAAGCATTTTCCTTAAAGGTGAACAATATTCCACATACAAGGAGGTTTTCAGCACTATGTGCTAGAAATTATACTGAATGTTTCTTAATTTTTACGTAAGTCGGTCAATATAGTTTTTCAGCTTCCCCAAGTATTATTACCCCAGTGTTATAAATGACACTGAAGTAAAGGGCATATCACTCTCTTTATTCTGTGTAGGTGTGTCTGCTTACAGCTAAGGATTTCCTAAATTATAGTTTTGTAAACATTAGTTCTAAATCATTGTGATCACTTGAATTTTGAAAATGTCAAAACCAATCACATTAATGTAATAGAAAATAGAGGTTTGAGGTGCATTGGCTCGCTGTTTTATTTACTATGGATCAGTGGAGTAGAAATTCCCATCGCGGAAGAGGGTTCATTCCTGTCTCTCAGCCTCAGCAAAGTTAAACATTTCAGACCTTGCCTGACTTTGGATCTATTGCGCATGCTCTGTCCTTTACCACTATCCAGTCCTGGGGGGCATATAGAGCCACTCAGAGCCTTAGAGGTACGTTCAGTGAAATGGAGCCAATCACCATATAGTGTAGCCTATTGTTCGTCTGACCAAAATGCACTATGTTGCGATAGCATGGATTCTACAGACCCGTGAAGCCCATTTGGACCACAAGACACTCTTTCCATCATGCCTGCACACCTATCCTTCACTCTTCATTGGCTCATGCAGACTTTTGAAAGTATTTAGCAATAAGCATCCTACCCCCAAGAAGCTTATGGTCTCATGGAGAAGATGGCCAAGCAACAGACAATCCCAACATGGTGAATGCCGCTAAAACAAATGCGTACCTGGATCTCCGTGAGTGCTAGGAGGAAAGCAACCCAAACTCAGAAAAGTAGGAGAGGTGTCAGGGAAGACATTTTCCAGAAGATGGTTTCGTGTCTAACAAAGCCGTGAGACGAGCAAAGAGGAGGTGAAAGGCTCAGCGTTCTATGGGGACATTTCCTTAAGTCCAGTATCTCTAGAGTTGAGTGAGGGAAGCTAAAAGAGAGGAAATAGAAATGAAAAATGGGAGTTCTTGAGAGGCTTTACTTACCCTGCACAAGCCAAGGACAGGTCTGCGGGAAGTAAGCAGATGCACAGTTAGGAAAGCCCATATCAGGAGTTAGTCACGACAGAGAAAGATTTGTACACTTTGGAAATCGTAAAAGAATGAAAAGCCCAGGTCCTTATTTCCCTGTTTTCGTCTCTGTTTTTCACGTTCCTCCCGGATTTCAATTTCTTTCTGGAATCTTAGCTCTCTTCGTCATCTGCTCTTGCAGGAACACTGAACTGCAAACGCAACCCTACGATTCAGCGAACTACGTCCTATCAAGGTTACTGGGTACAAATACATTTACTTTCGTGAGTTCTCTTGTGACTTTCTGTATCACTGCCCACAGTTGCTACTGTGAGACAAGCATTAGAAGTCTGTGTAGATTGCTGGGTTCACACACATTTACATTCTTTTTCTCTTGTGAGCTTTGACGTGGCTACACATAATTGTTACTGTGAAATAAACATTAGAAAAGCCTGTGGCCCGTGAAATAAACATTAGAAAAGCCTGTGGCCCGTACGGGGATCGAACCCGCGACCTTGGCGTTATTAGCACCACGCTCTGACCAACTGAGCTAACCGGCCCCGCCGGCGGAACGGACCCTACCTCTCTTGAGAAGTTTAAAGGCGAACGTTATTCCAATCACCAAAGAAACTTTTCTGAAGTTCTTGGAGTTGGAAAGAACCTACGATCTTTGCTAACTTGGTTACGATCCTCGGCAAATTTCTTCTAACCTGGAAATTTCAGTTAAAATACAATTCTGCGGAAGGAAAGTTCAAATGTCACCTGCTTCAGTGTTTCACGACAAAGGGTTTCAGTGACCACCCTTTTAAACGCAACGCCATCACCGTCCGCCGGTACTGTGGCCTGTCCCTATCACTCCTTTCTACTTTGCTTCCGTAGCTTCTGAGCGACCCGTGAAGAAATTGACGGAAAACGGAAGGAATTGCCGCCAGTTCCTTTCCACGGGCCGTCAAGGCCAGTATAAGTCCCCACCCAGGCTCCTCTGCTCGTAACTTCTAGCACGATTCCCACTGAATTCGCCCATGTTTCCCAGAAGTGAGTATTTGATCCCTACCCCACCCCATTTTTAGAAAACTCAGGAAAACGCTCTCGTATTTCTATCTGAAAAGGACACTTTAGAGAAATACGTTCCATTACAGTCTTTGTGTTCGCATTGTATTCCTTCTCGATGAAACAGGTATAAGTCCATTGGTATTTTACGCACGACAAGACAACTTTGCAGCCCGACTCATGACCTTTAGATTAAGAAACACTCTCCGGGAGCTCTGCTGATCGCTGGGTCTTACGAGGTTGATGCCTTCTGTCCCAAAGAGAACTATTTCCCTGCGTGTTTCCGCCTGGCTGCCCACTTCTCCAGTAGAGAAACAGCTGTTCCTCGGGATTCATTTTTGGAAGTTCTTTGGGTCCTGGGTAATGGGGCCGCATCCTGCAGCGTCGACAAGGTGGTTGAATACGCAGGAACACCCACAGTACCCAGGGACTAATAAATAGCTCAATAGATACATTTCGAATAACTGAATAAAGGAAATCTCAACCAACCCCCTTGCCGTATTACAGGTGGTCCAGCTCTCTGCCTAGACTATTGTGCTAATGTCCTGTTCCTTCTCCCGGCTTTTGAACTAGATTCTCACCTCTCTCCAATCCATCTTTCGCAGGGCTGGCCTGTCTTTCCGCCTCACTTCTGAAATTCTATCCATTGCAGCCTCTATGCAAACCGACTCTGGTTAATACTTCAGTCGGTATGGCTCCCCTCTTCCGCACTTTGCACTGCGAGAAATGCCCTTCCTTGAGGCAGCTGGAGGCCTCCTCCTCCTGAGAGCTTAATTGTGGACACAGTCTTGAGTAGAGGCGAAAAGGAAAGAAGGCTGGGAGATAATGGGGGAAAAGCACACCTTTGGTCTGGTTTGAAAGCTGGCGCCCGAAAAGGGGAGCGAAAGGACAAGAAAAAAAAACACGCTCCGAAAGTGTCTGAGATTGCTGCGGCCATAAAGCAGAGCACTAACCGCGGTACTGATAAGGGAGGGGAGCAGGGCTCCGCCGCCGGGCCTGTGCCCATGGATCTAGGTGAGGACGGGCACTCCTTCCTCCGCGGCCAAATGTTGCATTTCCCAAGACCACCCTGGCCCGCCACGCCCCCATCCTGTGCCTATAAAAACTCCCGAGACCCTAGCGGGCACGGACACAAGCGGCTGGACGTGAAGAGGAACACACCGGCGGGAGAACACAGAACACCCACCCTCTCTTTAGTCACCCTGGAGGCCTCGGAGAAGGCGGTTTCGGTGATCCGTGAAGAGACCCCGAGTCTGTTACATCCCGGAGAATGACAAGAGAGCGAGTACCTGGGTGACGTTTACGTTCTGGGATTTCGGGAGATGCGGTTTTCTGCACGCCAGGGGCCAAGCCTGAGACGTAGATGGACGGCAGGGATAGGAGCTCTCTCCGCGCCACAAACGCCCCTGCTCATACCTGGGTTCCTTGATTTTCCTGCCTATATAACCGAGCCTCCCATGGCCGGGCTCTGAGCTCTCATTCTGCGGACTGGGACAAAGGGGTTAACTGTGATGAGCTTTGTATAACCCCAGGATTCTGCACTTGCCCAAGGGCGAGGCGCAAATCAAAAACTACGCACAACTGAACACCGAGATCAGGTGAGTCCTGAGTGTCTCACGACATAAAATCCTTACGATTTTAACAAGAGTTGTATTTGTGCTAGCACTGTTAACTGACAAACGCATGCCAGATCCCATCTGTCTTTAAAGCTCAATGTGTGACGTTAGACACGTCGTTTTGCTCTTCAACTTTCTTATTTGGAAAAAAAAAAAAAAAAACAAAAAAAAACAAGTGTTCTAGATTTGCAGAGGACCTTTTCGGAGCTAAGTTCCAGTAGCTATACTGTAAGTTGATTTCTTGGGCAGTTCTGTTGGTGAGGAAAGAGGGCAAATTGAGAAATGAACAAACACAGAAGTTGCAAAAGCCCTGTGACTTACAGCACAGGACGAGTCTACAAACCCTGCCATACCACACTAAGCTCAAATTGTTTTAACACCAGCTTACTCAGACCCGATGATCCAAGATAAGACCAAAGCCAAACGGATCCAGCAACTCTGCGCAGATCTTCATGTTCCAGCAGCTAAGTTCCACTGAATAAACCTATGATTCGCCTAGTTTAGAAATTCTGGCCGTGCGCGGTGGCTCACGTCTGTAATCCCAGCACTTTCGGAGGCCGAGGCGGGCGGATCACAAGGTCAGGAGACCGAGACCATCCTGGCTAACACGGTGAAACTCCGTCTCTACTAAAGATACAAAAAAAATTAGCCGGGCGTGGTGGCGGGCGCCTGTAGTCCCAGCTACTCGGGAGGCTGAGGCAGGAGAATGGCGTGAACTCGGGAGGCGGAGCTTGCAGTGAGCCGAGATCGCGCCACTGCACTCTAGCCGGGACGACAGAGCAAGACTCCGTCTCAAAAAAAAAAAAAAAAAAAAAAAAAGAAAAGAAAAGAAAAGAAAAGAAAAAGAAAAAGAAATTCTGTCCAGTCCCTCCTGAGAAGGACCTTACTAACCTTCCCCCTAAAAGTGTCCTATGAATAGCTCCAGTCCCCAGACCCTTTAAATTCTGGTCTCTGACTCACCCTTGTTTTAGGCAGTACTGGGACTCCATAGAGGTACGGCTCTTTGCTCAGCAAGTTTAATAAATCCAAGGTAGTAGAATCAATTTGTTTTCTTGGTCGTCTTGTTTGGAGGGAGTGGGTCTTCTCAATGTTGGTTCTGATCCCTGCCTATGGATATTTATGAATAAATAGATATTTGCACTCCATCATCATGTGGAGCTACAAGTGTTAAATTTAACGATCTAATTACCTCTAAAATAACCACTAAATTCAACAATCTGAAACTTATCTAATTAGTTCCACATCCTGGAATGAAGGGATTTAATAGGTAATAACAGGTCTCAGTCTCTAATGGAGACATAATCACACAGACACCAGATGAAAGATGAGTAAAGTGGAAAGCAATAGGTAGAACAATAATTTGCTTTATGCTATGATTTTTGGAGCGAAGCAAGAAAATTAATCAAGGAAACAAAGAAGAAATCCAAGACTTAGTAGTGTTGGATTTGCATTTTTGTCATATGACACTACTTGTATTTTACAGGATTCACTTGGTCTCCATCTGACCTCCTCAGAGTAGACTGCTCTTTCCCAATCACTCCTGCAATTACCCTAGGAGATGTGTGATCCTAAAGTAAGGGGGAGTTTTAAATTTACTTCTAAGTACACCTGCATGATGCCATTAGTCAGGGCAGGGTAGCTGAACAAACTCAGCTCTGAATCCTTTAAGCAGAGGTAATAATTGCTGACACTATTTAATCGGATTCTGAACATGATGTGCCACTTTTCCTTTTGCGTCTGAAGTGACACCAGCCATTTTCACAGTTTCTTCCACTAGGAGGTCCTGGGAGAAAAGTGATAAAGGTAGATTCAAGAATGGTTAGTTTGATAAGAGAAATATAAAGGCAAGTATCTTTTTCACTCAGTTCACCTTGGTTCTAAGAGTGGGTCTATATAAAGAAATGGAGCATGCTTCTGCTAATTAATGTTCAGGCAGAAAAAGTCATGAATTCCACTACAAACCCATGTCCCTTCTTCCGAAGACATGACAAATTGATGAGGGTATGCTTTCTTCTGTCGGTAAAACGAAGTCTGGGATATAGATTGCAATATTAGCAGTGCCATAGTGCAGAATTTCTCATAATTAACACTTTTCACTTGAATACATAAGAAAATAGAATTGGAATGTAAAGTTAATAAATTAATCATGTTATAAACAATATGAACATAAAAGCAAAAATTGCAAGGTCTTTGGCATGCAGTCTTTGATTTGGGGAATGCATTTTTTCTATTGTTATCAGGAAGAAAGAACAGAAACAGTTCATATTCACATGGACTAGACAAAAGTATGCATTTATGTTCTTACTCCAGAGGTATACCAAGTCCCCCAATTTTTCCTAATCTAGTCCAAAGAGAATTGAACTGTCTGCACCAACAGCAAAACATTGGTACACTGTATTGATAGTATCATTTAAATCTTCGATGAGCAAGAAGTGTCAAGTAAGTTGCAGATTTTGTTAAGCCCTGCATGCTCCAGAGGGTGGGAGAGAAACACAGAAACCATTCATCGACCTGGTTCGTGAATGAAAGTTTTTAGGATCTGTGAAATTCTGAGACATTTCCTCCAAAGTAAAGTCTCATTGTTGTATCTCGAAGCTCCCGTCACTTAGAAGGGAGCACTGTGCTCACCATGTTTCTCTGAGCTGTGAAAGCGGCGCGTTCCACACTTGGAGACCCTTCTCTGACACATTTACCAACAGATACTGAATTAAAATATTAACAAATTGAATCCAGCATTATCTGTAAAGCATAATGCACCATGAGTTAGGGGAGATTGCCTCGGGAATAAAAAATTAGTTAGGCATTGAAAAGTCAATTAAATGTAATATACCACATTAACAAAACAAAAAATACATGTAATCATCTCACTAGATGCAGAAGAAATATTGGACCAAATTTGCCATTCATTCGTGGTGTTTAAAAAATATCCCAGTAAGCTAAGAATAGAAGGAAAATTCCTCAGATGAATAATGGGCGTTTAAGAAAGTCCTACAACTAGCAATAGAGTTAATAGTGGAAGAATAAATATGTACCCTTTAATATTGGAGAAAAGTGCAAAATATCTGTCCTTACTACTTCTACATTTTACTGAAAGTCCTAGCTAGTGTCAGAAAGTAAGGAACGCATGAATGAAGAATAAATGGCATACTCACTTTAGAATAAGAAAAATATATTCGTTTGCAAGCAACATGATCAGATACACAAAAAATCCTAGTGTATCCACAAAAATAAGCATTATAAGTAAATGCAGCTATGTCACAGATTACAGTATACAAAAATTAATTGTATTTCTATGTACTAGCATCAAAAAAATGGAAAATTAAATTACCACTTTCAATAGGTTTAAAACAAATGAAATATTTAGAGATAAACTTGTCAGTGTGCACAGGACTTGTACCTAGGAATCTACAAAAGATGGCTGAGAAAAACTCAGGAAAGCTTGACTAATTGGTGTTGTTTGACATATTTACAGATTGAAAAAGGTAATATTATTAAGATATCATTTTTTTCCCTCTGAGTTGATCTATAGATTTACTACAATCCCAACAAATATCCCAGCAGGAGATTTTTGTTTTGTTTGTTTTGTTTTCTTTTCTTTTTGTTTGTTTGTTTTTACAGAAATTGACAAGCTTATTCTGTAGGACCTAGAGTAACCTAAATAATTAGGAAAAGAAAAACAAAGTTAGAGGACTTACACCAGGTGATGTCAAGACTTATTATAAAGCTAAGGTAATCAAAATAATGTGGTATTGTCTCAAGGATACTTACCCAGATTGACGGAATAGAACAGATAGTCCAGAAACAGACCAACGTATGTGGTCAACTGATTTATGACAGAGGTAAAATGTTATTTAATGAGTTTTTTAAACAAATGGTCCCAGGCAACTGAGTATGGAAAAAATGATTCCCTACCCTTAACTCACATCCTATACAACAATTAAATCAAAATGGTTTATATACGTAAAGCTTCACGTTAAAGTTATCAAACTTGTAGAAGAAAAGAAGTCTGCACATATCTGATGTAGGCAAAGCTTTTTCAGAAGGAACCAGAAAAGCATGAGCCCTTACAAAAAAAGATACACTGGATTTCATAAAATATTAAAATGCTTTTTCTTTGAAAGACAATATTAAGAAAATGAAAAGGCAAGACATAGACTTGAAAAGAAATGTAATATATGTTATATGCACACATAGTTGTTATACAACATATGTGTTATGGATACACATATAACAAAGGACTTTTATGGAGAATATAGAACACATTTTAGAACTCAGTGATACAAACACTCAGTAAGGATAAGGGCAAAAAACTTGAGCAGGCATTTCACAAAATAAGATGCTTATATGGCCAATAAGGCACACTAAAAGATGTTCAACAACATTAATCAGTACAAAAATGCAAATTAAATCTATCAAGGATTAATAGGTAACAACAGATCTCAACTCCCCTGAATGGAGAAACAATTAGTAACACAGATACTAGATAAGTTACTTGAAGGATCAATCGATAAAAAGATACTTGGGCTTATTTCCAGGTTTGTGTTCTTAAAAAGTGATGCATTCAACAGAGCATTTGAGGTAACTGCTAATTAGGGACGGTACTTCCTTCTCTTTCATCTAATGGGAGAGTGAAATCAGATTAGAACTAGTGCTTTCCTAATGAGATCTTTTCTCTCTTTCTCAGGATCCCGACTCAGATTGAAAAAGCAGAGGATGGTCACTGCCTTCCAGGTCTGAGGCTGTCTCCCAGAAACTTCATTCCTCGCTTCGCCTTGGTAGGGAAGTTCCCGGAGGTGTTTGAAAAGCTGGAAACTTAAGTGGGACATGGAACGATATTTGTGTCCCGGTTATCAAAACAGGCAGAAAAGACAAATGCGGTGTGGGGGAATTGGCTCAAGCGGTAGAGCGCTTGCTTAGCATGCAAGAGGTAGCAGGATCGACGCCTGCACTCTCCAGCTTCTTTTAATCCCTAGGCTACCAATGGTATCTGGTAAATACTTTCAGCGGATTTACCGCTCTTTATTTGACTCAGTTTCATCTTGTTATGTACATTTTTTTTTTAAGGAAATTATACATAGCATTCCATGCAAAAGCAAAAAAGGAAGCGATTAGTCACAAGTGAGTTTTGCCAATACAGGTTTTGGGGCTTCAGCTCGAAGTTAATACAATGTATTTTTGTGGGGAAATCAAACTTTAGCCTTTTGGGTACAAAATATGAGGAACAGCCTGGAAATAGTGTCAGGAGGCAAAAGCAGGAGACTTGAATGTGCCAACCTTTTGCTTTTATTCACATTGACAACACATGGTCAGGTAGAGGATGAAAACGTGTCTTCTACCAGATTATCTGAGAGTTGGCCAGGCTCCCACCTTCACTTATACTCCTTCCTTACCTCTCTCCTGTGTAGGTAAGAGAGGTAAGGAGAGAGGTAAGGAAGGAGTATAAGTGAAGGTGGGAGCTAGCATATTAACTCTAGTGGTCGGATACACTCTCACTAAGAAAAGTGACATTTATTCCTTCTATTCATCTCTCTGAAAGCTCGTTCTGACAAAAATGTGCTCAAAATAAATGGGGACCTAGGTCTTCCTCTAATTTCCAAGATGAACCAAAACGTAAAAAAATGTATTTTTGAAATTGCAACACTATCCCCTATTTAAAGAAACTACATGAGGCGCTGTATTAACAACACATATGTTGACTAGCTCAACTGGCCCAAGCAGAGCTCAGAATGCTGGAGAGAGTGGTCTTTGGATAGATGACTCCAGGAAGCTCTTGTAGGTCCCTGGGACGTGCCCCTCTTTCCATCCTTCTTTCTTTCCCATCACTCAAATCTCTCTCTGACACCATTTGACTTCTCAGCATTGCCCTTTGTTAATCGTAATAGAAAGACAATGTTATTGATTACATGTTTTTCTATTTTATCTTCTTATTCATAAATGATCTCAAAAATGAATGTCATAAATAATAAACATGTTGTTGAATTTTTGTCCCATAGGAGCAGCCTCTTTCCTTCTCAGGATGTGCACTCCTAATAAACTGGGACCGTGAAGGAGGGACCTGAAGCTGCCCCAAACCACCTGCAGTTCCATGAAGGCCATGCCTCCACCCACTAATCACTCTGAAAGTAGTGCCCCTCCACTCTTCCCCAACCACATTTCCTTTTCAGGCAAAAACATTTCTATGGGTTTGTTAGACCCTAGCTTCTAATCCTTTCTTCAGTCTTTACTGATCTGAAGCCACTCTCTCCTTTGAGGCTTCTAAATTATCTGTATAGCCTTTCTCCATTCAGCAAATTTTCATCAGGCAAAAATCCTACTTGACGCTAGTTATACTCAGAGTAAAATAACTATGTTCCTGTCTTAAATGAGAATTCTTCACAGGTGGAAAGCAGATTTGGAATCCACTACAACTCCAAGGCAGTGGAGCTAATGTAGCCTCCCCTGGGCTACAGGGGAAGCCTTCTTCTGTGGGCCCGGGAATTGAAGAACTAGACAGGCATAAGAAGGACAAGTGTGGTGCCCAATGGAGCAAGAGAAGGGGGGAGGAAGGTGACAGGGAAGGGAAATGGCAGGAGAAGCACCTACACAGCAGACACGGTATAGCCTGCATCTGTTTTTCCTTTTGGCTGAGAGATCCCTGAGCTCTGTGGTGACAATTTTCCATAATTTTTCATATAAAAAATGAAGATTATAAACTATTTCTAGGCATTTTACCTGCATTACTATTAATATGTGTACAGCATCTAAAATAGGGTCTAGACGGCAATTGCACAGTACTATTACTTGCTATTGTTGTGGCACTTTCTATGTGGATCACTGGCCTCATCCACTGTGCCTGGTGCTGAAGAAGTGCTTCAGGAATGAATCCACAGATTGAGATGAAAATTCTCAAGCTTTCTCTTTCTCAACTCCTCCAAGGTTCTCCATCACTTTCTGAGTCCTACAGGAGGAAAGTGCTATTGAAGATGCGGCGCGTATGGCGTGAAGTTCTGGGGCTGGGAGAAGCTGCCCCACTACTTCCGGGCGGCCTTGCCTGCAGGGAGCAGGTGAGGATCACAGCTCTAGAGCGGGCTGCAATAGCTGTGCCCGCAAGCCAGGCAGTTCCGGGTGGTGCTTCTCCAACTGGAACGTGCTCTCTACTTCCGAGAGATGAAGAAGGCGAAATTGAGAAGTGAGGAGAGAGGTCTCCCTCATGACCTATTTTGGAAATCCGTATTCTTCACACTCTCAGGCTCGTAGAACTTTGCCCAAGGCAGTATCTGAGAAGCTCCGCCCTCAATCTTGTCCTGCCAGGGATTTGGCGGCCCAAAGTACCGGCAGGCTCCTGATAACCAGGAAAATGGGTGGGGGGTGGTGTATCCTCAGTGGGGAATTAGCTCAGGCGGTAGAGCGCTCGCTTAGCATGCGAGAGGTAGCGGGATCGACGCCCGCATTCTCCAGTTCCTTGTCCGGTTTATGTCTCTTGGTTTGTATACCCGCTTCTTTCTCCTGTTGACAACGGCGGTGCTTCTTACCTGGGAGAAGATCAGAGGAACCTGCCCCCTCCCCCGATCTCGTGTTTTACTGCTCCCCATGTAAGAGTCTTGTTGCCCCTGCTTCCATCCTCCCATGTTTTCCACTCCTGCCACAGGTTTGGCACTTCTAGCTACTCAGGTCTCAATGCAAATTTCCCGTCTTTAGACAAGTACAGCTAAAAGTGATGCCCACACGATCTCTCAATTCCTACTACATCTTCACAAATATCGTCTCCTCCAGAAAGTATGTCTTTAAGTTACTGGTTTGTTTTTCTCTCCCCTAGAGTGGGAGCTTCCTGAGTACCGAAACGCTGTCTATGTACACTGTGTTCAACTCGCTTCATCCCCATGCGTAGAGTTAAGGTTCTGTAAAATACGGTTACTGCCTTGAACAGATAAGGAAACAGGGAGATCAAAGACAGAGCAATACTTAAAAACATTATCCTGCCACATTTCTCAAATCTTAATAATAGCATTCACTAATGTTTTTGGTTTTTCTTTGTGCTTTCTCCATATCCCCTTATTATTATTATTATTTTACATTTGGCTGACCATTTTACACTTCTTTTTCAAATGACCAATCAGATTTTGCAATTTTCTAGTTAATTCCTGTGTTTCCTTCACCATTCTATTTTCTTTTTTTTTTTCTTTTTCTTTTTTTTTTTCGGGCTTCTTCTTCTTCTTCTTCTTCTTCTTCTTCTTCTTCTTCTTCTTCTTCTTCTTCTTCTTCTTCTTCTTCCTTCTTATATTTAATGCACTGATTTCTTCTAATGTTTTGTAACTTGGGTATTAAAAGGTGTAATTTAAAATGAGAAAGCAGTTTCTACAGAGTCCTTAGAAATATGTCATTTTAAGTCCCCATTTTCATTATATTCTAAGGAGCTCGAAGATATACTTTTGATTCTTTTCTAAACTGTGCATTCGAGAGTTAATCTCTTCTTGTTTACTTTTACGTTCATTCTTTCAATGTTATTTTCTAATTTTTGTGTATCATTTTGTTTATCAACACATAAATATGTACATTCACATAAGTATACGAGTTATATATACATGTATTTATGAATGGCAGCTGAACCACACATTAGTGCTAATATTGGTGACTAAAAGTTGGAGAACCAGACATTATGTACCTCATAAAGCGAAGCAATGGAAAGTGCACAAGCCCACCTATCAAATTGTCTTGTTAAAAGATTTGAAGCTGAATCTAAGTGAGCCTCTACTTGTAACTACCAGTTTACAAGAAATAGAGTAGGTGAAGAAACATGTCAAGGGGCAGGAAATAGATACAATGAAATAAATACAACATAGAGGTGTTTCTAAGGATAAAAGGCCCAGTTCCTTCAACAACTAACTGGCATTAACTCTTTATGATACTATAATGGTAAATATATGTCATTATACATTTGTTAAAAAAAAAAAAACCCAGGATGTATAACACAAAGAGCAAACTGTAATGTAAACTGTGGACTTCAGTTAACAATAATGTATTAGTAATTACTGGTTTACCAGTTGTAACAAGTGTACCATACTGATGCAAGATGTTAATAATAGGGAAAATTGTAAGAGAGGTAGAGTGATGGAGTTTATGGAAATTCTATCTATTCTGGTCAATTTTTCTTTAAACCCAGAACTTCTCTAAAAAATAATGTCTATCAATTTTAAAAAATAATATCCATAAAAGAAAGACCAGGGACCTTTTATGGATGAAAAGAGTCTTAAAAAACATAAAAATCTGTAGATTTTACTTTATTATTTATAATCAGCCATTAAGAGAAATTTTTTTTGTATGGGTGACAATCAGAAAAAAAAGTTAATATTAGATCATATTTATGATCTATTACCAATTTGTTAACAACAAGTACATACACACATGCAAACATGGCCCTAAAATTTCCTAGTTCTCTCAAGCTATTGATTTCATCATTCTCTCTGCTGCTGAGTTCAAGAAAGTGAAATGCGTAATGGGTATCTCTCCTTTCCCACCTTCCTTCCAGTTCACAACCTAGTGCTGTCCACTTGCATGGGATGTTTCTTTTCCATCACAATGCTCTGAGATAACTAAGTCAAGGGAAGTTTGCGCAGCCCTCCAGACCCTCCAGATTTCAAAGGAAAGCCCACCGCTGCTGGTCTGGGGGAGCTGATGGCCTATTCATGGATGAGATGGACTAAGGACAGTGGGAAGCACAATGGACCAACAGCATTGTTGGAGGGGACTGCGTGAGGAAGCAGGAGCCTAAACAACACTCTCCAGATACTGCGTGAACACTGTCTCCAGAGGGGTCTTGTAGCATCAAAAATTAAAGCTAAATGTTGATTTCTTTCTGGTAATTATTTTGTTCAGCAACCTGGAAAAACGAACAAAAATTATCTCATTCCCTTTCCTATTTAAAGCCTGAAATATTTAATTAAAATGATAAAACTTAAAAAAAGTGCTTATTAGGCCAGGCTCGGTGGGAGGCCGAGGCGGGGGCGGGGCGAATCACTGGAGGCCAGGAGTTTGAGACCAGCCTGGCCAACATGGCGAAACCCCGTCTCTACTAAAAATACAAAATTAGCTGGACGTGGTAGCGCACGCCTGTAATCCCAGCTACTCGGGAGGCTGAGGCAGGAGAATCGCTTGAACCTGGAAGGTGGAGGTTACAGTGGATCGACATCGCACCACTGCACTCTCAAAAAAAAAAAAAAAAAAAAAAAAAGTCTTTATTGAAAGTTTCAAACTTAAAAGTGCTCTCACATATAAATAAAATCATTTTCTCTATATACATGGTTTTTGCAAGTGTACATGTCTAGACACCCTAGGAATGGTGGTGCCGTGGTGTGAACGTGGAGCCTGGAATGGCCAGCCCCAAAACCTCCTCCTCATCAACTGTTGACTCGTCAACAGTCAGTCAGTAATCAAAACTTCCTTAAAATACAAAGAGCCGCAGAACATTCCGGGATATCTGTGCTACTTAATCTGGCAGTTCCTACTGTGTCTTGCCCCCGGTGTGACGTGCTCTCTTCCATGAAATTAATAACTGCAAACTGTAATGGGAACAATGCAATTGATTGTCTCCGCACTCTTGCCCAAAGCGTTCTCTGAGATGTTTGGTAGTTATTTGGGTCCTTACTTGACCTTCGTGGCCTTAAAACAAAGGGAACATGGCATTTGTGAATCTGAAAGAATTGTGATAATTTTCTCATTTCCTCCTGGCTGTGTGCATCACCCTGAGTTTGCGGAGGGATCAGCCCTTTTTCAGAGCCCCCTCACGTCCTGAGTATCATCCTCAGAATGTGGGGCTTGGGCTCAATTTGAAGAGGGTGTGAGGGAGAGCCAAAATGCAGGGATTGTCCCACAGTGCAGTCCTGCTTTGTAAACCCCTTCCTCTGACTAGCTTGATTTTAGTCTCTGAGAATGGATGGGGTGGGATGGCTTTTCAGTACTTTCTGCTGAGACATTTTTGTATATTCATTTCTCTCTCAAGGAGCCTCTGTAACAAAAGAGAAAAAACTGTCTCGGGTTCTGTGTGTGGCACATGAGTTTGAAGGATTTCTGAGACTATTGTTCAGGACTGGCGTTACAGATGAAATATAGATTCAGGACCAGTGACGGTGGGATCCTTGGCAGGCGGACATAACGCCTCGTTAAGGACAGACTGCCCACCACTCTCTTTCTTTCTTTCTCTCTTTCCGAAATCATTTTCTATAAATTCCACTGGGTATCAGAACCTTCCTTAGGCTGACTGGCGCTTCGCAGTCTCCTCTCCAAGCCCGGATCTATTCCCCAAAATTCTCTCGTTCATGCTTCTAGCTTCTCTTCTTAGCTTCTCTAGGTTCGCGTCATCGGCTTTCCTTGTTTCCCAGGTTGAATCCCCAGTTCCAAGCGGCTCCTGTAACAGGGAGTGGGAGCCCACCCTCCCACTCGCCGTGTAGCACTCTGCATCTCTGAGAAGAAAGTGACCACCCCAGCCCAGCACAGATTTTCTTCGTCTTTGAGCACCTGCTCGGAGTTCCCGCCCCTCGTCGCTCCTTGGTTTTCCCTCATTGCCTACATAGAGTCTGTTGGATGTCGGTCAAGGTATCCCCAGCCCCTGCCGTGGGAACCGTTTGGGGAAAAACAGACCTGATTTATTTATACTTCAAAGATGCCCAATGATTCCCTGTCGTCTGTGTACCATAAAAATAAAAACAGATAAAAATAAGAAGATCAATGTATTCGACATCTACACCCAGGCGTACAGCTCTCAGATGATCAACTGGGAAGCGACTGTTGCCCACCCAGAGGGAAGAAAGGGGCAAAGCCGGAGGATGAGGACGCGGACCCTGCAGGCCGCTGCCTCCCAAGTGAGCGGGTTACAAATTCCGCTAACCCCAGCCCGCCACCCCGCTATTGGCTATTTGAGGCATGTGGGGGATTTTTCCGGACTAGAAGTCTTGTGTTCCACCTGGTTTTTCGGGACCACTCAACATTCCTGAGCTCCATCCCTGCCAAGGTGGAGCCAGCACAGGACTGCAGGCGGAGTCTCCAGACTCATCCGGAAACAGCCACTGCGCGGAGCCGGGAGCGCGTGTCAAACGAGCACCCACAGAAGCTCTGGGCCCGACACGGTTCCACTTGCTTGATATTTCAGAAAAGAAGGAATTATACCTCAGCTGTAAAGGGAATACGGGTTACAGCTATCACAAGTGCCGGGAAGGTAAGCGTTCACTTGCAAAAGCTGCCCTCTCTGAGGCTCGAACTCAGGACCTTCAGATTATGAGACTGACGCGCTGCCCGCTGCGCTAAGAGGGCGACGAAGTGCATCAACGCGCCAGCTTCCACAGGAATTTCCTAATTTCTTTCCCCAGGCGGGTTATTTTGGGACTTCAGTTTTCTTCGCCCAAGGTCGCTAGTTTTCCAAGATTATTTCCAATAGGCACGCGTAGGCTCCTTTTTAGCCCATCGGAAGAACCTCACAATCGGAAGCCATAGTGTACTGAACAATTATGCCTGACCTCATTCTCTATTGATCTGGATCTTCGTCCCCTCAGAGATATAAGGCAATAATTACTGTCCACAGTCTCCTTAGTTGGAATAGCGGGCTCTCACTAAATGCTAGTTGAATGAATGAAAAGCTCCCAAACATGCCTGCAGTTTACACTTACCTCTCTTAATTTAAATTTGCATTTCCACTTATGTCACCTGAGATAGTCCCCTCAAAATATCACCAACTGATTTTATGATGAGTCTTCATGTTTTCTTCACCTCTATGTTGCAAATACCCTATTAAAGATTTTATTCCCGTAATTTCATTTAGTCCAATTTATTTATTTATTTATTTGCCATAAATCTATACATCATTATCCCCATCTTACTGATGAAACTGAGGCTCAGCAGAACTAAATCCACAGCTGATAAGGGGCAAAACCAGATCTTGAAAGCAGATTTTGTTTTCCAAAAAGCGTGCTGCCCTCTTTCTCCCTCTAGATCATGTAATCTCCCCTTTTCCTCTCCACACCACCACACTCATTTGTTAAGCAAATAGCTATAGAATTTTAGATTCGTTGGTCCATTCAACAAACTTTAATTCACCACCTGCCATGTACCCGGCATTTATGCTCTAGATTTCCAAGGCATCCTTGGCCCTTTATCCCTCACATCCCTACAAACACCTTAAATCATTAGTTCTCGAAGTGCGGTGCCCAGACCCACCACATAATTCTCGAGGACACATTCCATTTCAGGTACTGTGCTACCCGAAGGCTTTGAGGATTCAGAGGAAATTGAGCCATCCCTGACCTCAGGAGCTGACAGGACAAACTGTCCTATCTGGTCCGGTTCCTATACTCTCAAACTTCCGGATTCTTATAAATGCATCTTCCTAAATATTTTATTTTGATACTGTAACTCCCATTCTGCACTAGTTTGCTAGGGCTGCCATAATAAATATCATAGACTGAGTGCCTTAACCAACAGAAAATTTTCTCAGTTCTGGAGGCTAGAAGGGTTGTTAGCTTTGGTTTCTCCTGAGGCCTCTCTCCTTGGCTCGCAGATGGTCACTTACCTTCTTGCTATATTCTCCCACGGTCTCTCTCTCTACACATGTTTCCATCTTTTCTTATAAGAACTCCTATTGGGAGTTAGGGTTTCGACATGAATTTGATGACAGGTGGGGCGGGACAAAATTCCACCATGACAGGCTCAAAGTTGTTTACATTTTCACCCTCATATTTGCAGTAGACTTTGTTACTGGAAAACACTACTTGCTTTTTTTTTTTTTTAACACGTATTTTAAAGCCCCTTAATTAAACAGACCATATACCTTTCCTTATCTAGGAATTCCCATTCCAGTGCCTGGTCCACACATCCATTATTTCTCCTCATCTCCATTCCTCAAGGCCCATTCTTGATTCTTTCATTCTTATTTGAAAGAATGTAGCATGGAGGAATGTAGCATACTAGTTTTTCCCTCGGAATTGCATGACTCATTGTCATGCAAATTACGCAGTCTCAGGTGTTCCTTTTAGCAACACAAAGTAGACTAAGGTGTGTACATTTTTGTACTTGTCAAATGTGGTTAGAATACCAAATGAGGTACTGCCTCACAGATCCCTGAGATGTCATTACTTGGCATAACAAAATCATAATATAGATATCATAATAATGCATAAGCAGACAGGAAAAAACCATAATAATAACAAAACTCATTAAGGGATAGCCACGTAAGTTTATCAGTTAGTTCTCTCTAAACTCTGTAATATGAATGTGGCCAATCTCTGGGATTTAATAATACAAAAAACATGTTTTGGTCTCCCAGTGTCATTTTAATCTTATTCAGTAGGATATATTCTTTCCCTATCTCCATATGAAGACATACACAGTTTTATGCCTCATCCCAGGCAATACAGTCTCAGTCTCAAAGTTAAGATGCTGAGCTCCATGTAACACTCTAAAATTTAAACTTGACATAAAGATCAGATCTCTTCCTTTACCTACTGGGCCTGTTGAGTCAGCTAAAACTATTTGGATAGTTTTCTAAGGAAAATGTTTCATCTCTCTTTTCTTACCCTAACATTCTACCATTTGTTAACCACTGTTCTGAGACTTCCGTGTTTCAATCGTGGTGGAAGATGAGTTAAAGCCAGGGAGGGGTGGTGGGGAGAATAATAAAGTTCTTACTTTTAAATGGTGTTGTCATTAGCCAGTGTCATGCTTTCCATTCAGCTGTTTGAATACGAATAATTTTTTTAATACGATCCATGATTGTGGATTCTCGTGTGCATTTCCCTTGATGATGATGTACTCTCCTGTACCCCCTTCTTTATGACTGCTTTTCCAGCCACTGCAAAACTCAAAGCTTCCTTTTGCTTCTTTTTCCTTAGTTACGTTCATCCTTCCACATAGCCCACTGGGACTGGCTCAAAGTTGACCTCATGCTAGTGCTCCCTCTCTCCTGATTCCCACACCTGTCTTGTGGGAAAGGCCTACATCTGGTTGTCCCTGAAAAGCCCTGGGACTACAGGCCAATCCCAATATAGAAGGAACTTCAGGCAGTCAATCTGCCCATTTCTCCCCTTTACATTTCTCATGCATCTAACTACCGTATCTCCCATATTTTGGTGCCAGTGATTGAACTTGTTGGCACCTGTATTAGTCCATTGTCACACTGCTATAAAGAACTACTGGAGACTGGGTAATTTATGAAGAAAAGAGGTTTCATTGACCCACAGTGCCACAGGCTGTATAGGAAGCATGGCTGGGAGGCCTCAAGAAACTTACAATCATGGCGGAAGGCGAAGGAGAAGCAAGCATGCCTTACCATGGCAGAGTCGGAGAGAAAGAGCAAAGGGGAAAGTGTTACACACTTTTCAACAACCAGATCTCAGGAGAACTCACTCATTGTCATGAGAACAGCATGAGGGAAATCTGTCTGGAACAGGTTTGTGAACCCATTGAGGTGTTCATCCAGTGCTGTTTCAGAGAAATCTCTATTTCAATCTATTCCTATACATTAGTTACTGAAAAACAACAGACAATCACAAAAACAAGTTGACCTTTTTGTGATCCTTGAGCCCAGTTGCGAAGGGCCCTCGTGACCGGGCCTCATGCCAAACAACTCGTTACAAAAAGAGCTAGGGTTCCAGACTGGGCTGAAGCTTCATGAGACTTCTCCTCGTCTGTGCGCAGACAGCTGGCCAACTCTGGAGCCCAGGCTGTTGCTTCCCGGTCTGTTGGTGAATCCTCCATAGTCTGGTGAGTGTACATATATATGTATATACATATATATATATATATATATATATATATATATGTCTTTTTCCTTCCCATTGCAATTTGCTTATTATATCAGTCTGCTTATTATTTCATTTGCTTATTATATCTGCATTGCCATTTACGTGGGATAAAGGTTGTTTACCCTTAAAGGTGTTGTGTGGGTGTCTTTTCTTCTCCCTTTACATGTCTTCCACACAGAACATGTACACATGTATCTACAGGTGCATGTGTGTATGTAGAAGTGATTGCACCTGTGTTTATGTATACATGTCTGTGTACACCACATGCATGTGTAAATGTATGTGGGTACACGTGCATGCATGTGTATGCATACATGCATGTACACATGCACAAAGGTATCTACACATACATGTGTATACATGCATGCATGCATGTTTATGTATACATGCATGTACACCGTATGTATGTGTGTATGCATGTGTGTATTTTCAGACGCATATGCATATGCATACATGCATGTACTTGCATGTGCACACGTAGCTGCACATTCACGTGTGTATGTATACATGTATGTACACGTGTGTGCATGTGTGAGTGTGTAAAGATATGTAAACATGTATGTGCAAATGCATGTGGGTGTGTGTGCATGGATGTAGGTGTATCCATGTATTGTGTACACAGTATGCATGCATGTATGTGTGTAGATATATGTGCAGATAGACATGTGCTCACACGTCTGCATGTATGTGTGTACATGTGTATGTGTTTACCCACGTACGTGTGTATGCACGTGTGTACGCATGCATGTACATGCGTATGCATGTGTGTATGCATGCATGCACATGCGTATGCATGTGTGTATGCATGCATGCACACATGTATGCATAAATGTATGCATTGTGCACATGTATGCACATGTTTGTATGAATGATGTATATATACATACACGTATACACCATGTATACCAGCCTACAAATGCATCTGTGCACACACATGTGAAGGCGTGTGTATGCCTGAATACAAGTGTCCATACATACGTGTGCATATCCACACATACATGTGTACAACACGCATGTGTGCACACATGCATGTGCACACACAAAAATTCGTGTGCAAACACATGCATGCATGACATATATGTGTACATGGATATGTGGGTATACATGCATGTGCATACACACGTGCACGTGCATGCACACATGCACACATAATACATGTATATATACATACATGTTTGCGTGAAAAGCACGATGCATACATGCACACAAACATAAATGTGCATACGCACGTACTTGTGCATACAAATGCACATGTGTACCCATACATGCATTCAGACGTTTGTGCAATGTATACATACACCTATAAGTACATACACACATATACACTCATACATGTTTGCACACACGCATACGTACACACATGCACGTGTACAAATACATGTGTGCGTGTGCATGCATTTGTGCATATTCATTGATTGTGTGCACAATATGTATGTGTGCATGTATGTGTGTATACGTGTATGTGTAGATGCATACGTGTATGTTAACATGCATGTACACTCATGTAAACATGCATCAACACATTTATACACGTATTTATTTGTGTATCAGGTTTGTATACACGTACCTAAACATGCATGCGAGCATTCGTGCATGTATGTACACGAGAATGCATATGTGTATGCATACGTGTATGTACACATATAAGCACAGGCATCTACACGTGTGCGTGCGCACCTATGTGCACACTTATGTATACATGTATGTGCACGTGCATAAATGAATTAAGAAAGAAACAATTCACCCAAACAAGGAGGAAAAGATGAACATCTCAAGTACCTATGAGCATTTTTACATGCAGACCCCTTACTGACATTGACCAAGACAGATGACAAGAGATCATCAAGGAGAGAGTTCATTAGAAAAAGATACTGCTAACATTAGAGAAACATAGCATCAATCACCCATAGCATGGATGCTGTTGAGCTTCCACCTGAAAAACAAACAACAACAACAACAAACCTGGCGGGTAGAAATAGGAACAGGTTTAGCATTACATCCCTCCCTCCTTTTCCTGGGACCTGCATTGGGCCCCATAAGCTTGGCATGAACCTAAGTGAATAAGACACCAAAGGACTGAAGTTTACCACTACCTTCAGAATTAGGACTCAGAGCCAGGAATTTCTTTAGACTACATAACCAGTCTATGCATATGTGAGGATTTGGACTGTAGTTCACACTGGCTGCGCTTCCTTATGGAAACAGTGACTACAAGATGGAGGATATTAATGAAAGATAGCACACATCTATACTAAATGTCATAACAGCAAAAACCATAAGATAGTTACTGACAATGAGTCATGCAATTCCGAGGGAAAAACTAGTATGCTACATTCCTCCATGCTACATTCTTTCAAATAAGAATGAAAGAATCAAGAATGGGCCTTGAAGAATGAAGATGAGGAGAAATAATGGGTGTGTGGACCACGCAATGGAGTGGGAATTCCTAGATAAGGAAAGGTATATGGTCTGTTTAATTAAGGGACTCTAAAATACTTGTTAAAAAAAACAAAAAAAACAGCAAGTAGTGCTTTCCAGTAACAAAGTCTACTGCAAATTTCTTTCTGTACATGGGAAATAAGGACTGTGGGATTCTTTGGGTGGATCCCAGCACCTAGAGTTGGATCTGATCAAAAAGAAGTGCTCAGTAAACATTTACCTACTGCTTTGGTTGCCTTCCCCCTGTGGAGTGCTGGCCTCCAGGATTGAGCTTGCATCATAGGTGTTCAGTAGGAACTTGCTTAGTGGATTTACAGGTTGAGGTTAGAACCCATCAGGATTCTTTTCCTGGAAAGAACAGGCATGTGTTCTTCCCTTCCCTCTAAGTTTTCACATAGACACTGGGTGAGGAAAGAGCCCTAAATTGCTTGAAAAATTGATTGCTCTTTGAGCAAAGCAAGAAACCCTCCTGTGGAAGGGCATCATTTGGGCATATATCGGGGTCTCAGTACGAAGATGAGTGCTCAAGACGTCAAGATGCTTAAGCAGAGAATCTGACCAGAATGTTCGTGGTACAGAGAAACAGTTTTGTTGGGAGAAGGATGACAATTGAGGCTTTCGAATATAAGCTAAATAAGCTTCAAAGGGTATACAAAAAAGAATCAGGTACAAATCCTTTACTACATTCTTTTGTACAAATCAATTTTTGTCTAGAAAATCATACCTTACTATGCATCCCTATTGTGTTCCTCCACCATCTATTTTGTTTTTTTAAGCGTTATTTCATTTTCATGTTCACAGAAGCTTGTTGCTACAACTACATGAGCAAAACAGCCAGTAGCAACAGAAATGCATTAATATCTCTCCTCAGACCTTTAAAGCATTTTCCTTAAAGGTGAACAATATTCCGCATACAAGGACTTTTTCAGGACTATGTGCCAGAAATTATACTGAATGTTTCTTAATTTTCACGTAAATCGGTCAATATAGTTTTTCAGCTTCCCCAAGTATTATTACCCCAGTGTTATAAATGACACTGAAGTAAAGGGCATATCACTCTCTTTATTCTGTGTAGGTGTGTCTGCTTACAGCTAAGGATTTCCTAAATTATAGTTTTGTAAACATTAGTTCTAAATCATTGTGATCACTTGAATTTTGAAAATGTCAAAACCAATCACATTTATGTAGTAGAAAATAGAGGTTTGAGGTGCATTGGCTCGCTGTTTTATTTACTATGGATCAGTGGAGTAGAAATTCCCATCGCGGAAGAGGGTTCATTCCTGTCTCTCAGCCTCAGCAAAGTTAAACATTTCAGACCTTGCCTGACTTTGGATCTATTGCGCATGCTCTGTCCTTTACCACTATCCAGTCCTGGGGGCATATAGAGCCACTCAGAGCCTTAGAGGTACCCTCAGCGAAATGGAACCAATCACCATATAGTGTAGCCTATTGTTCATCTGACCAAAATGCACTATGTTGCGATAGCATGGATTCTACAGACCCGTGAAGCCCATTTGGACCACAAGACACTCTTTCCATCATGCCTGCACACATATCCCTCACTCTTCATTGATTCATGCAGACTTTTAAAAGTATTTAGCAATAAGCATCCTACCCCCAAGAAGCTTATGATCTCATGGAGAAGATGGCCAAGCAACAGACAATCCCGACATGGTGAATGCCGCTAAAACAAATGCTTACCTGGATCTCCGTGAGTGCTAGGAGGAAAGCAACCCAAACTCAGAAAAGTAGGAGAGGTGTCAGGGAAGACATTTTCCAGAAGATGGTTTCGTGTCTAACAAAGCCGTGAGACGAGCAAAGGGGAGGTGAAAGGCTCAGCGTTCTATGGGACATTTCCTTAATTCCAGTATCTCTCGAGTTGAGTGTGGGAAGCTAAAAGGGAGGAAATAGAAATGAAAAATGGGAGTTCTTGAGAGGCTTTACTTACCCTGCACAAGCCAAGGACAGGTCTGCGGGAAGTAAGCAGATGCAGTTAGGAAAGCCCATATCAGGAGTTAGTCACGACAGAGAAAGATTTGTACACTTTGGAAATCATAAAAGGATGAAAAGCCCAGGTCCTTATTTCCGTGTTTTCGCCTGTTTTTCACGTTCCTCCCGGATTTCAATTTCTTTCTGGAATCTCACCTCTCCTCATCATCTGCTCTTGCAGGAACACTAAACTGGAAACGCAACCCTACGATTCAGCGAACTATGTCCCATCAAGATTACTGGGTACAAATACATTTACTTTCGTGTTCTCTTGTGACTGTCTGTATCACTGCACACGTTTGTTACTGTGAAACAAGCATTAAAAGTCTGTGTAGATTACTGAGTACATATGCATTTCTTTTTTTTTCTTTTTTTTTTATTATACTTTAAGTTTTAGGGTACATGTGCACATTGTGCAGGTTGGTTACATATGTATACATGTGCCATGCTGGTGCGCTGCACCCACTAACTCGTCATCTAGCATTAGGTATATCTCCCAATGCTATCCCTCCCCCCTCCCCCCACCCCACCACAGTCCCCAGAGTGTGATATTCCCCTTCCTGTGTCCATGTGATCTCATTGTTCAGTTCCCACCTATGAGTGAGAATATGCGGTGTTTGGTTTTTTGATCTTGCGATAGTTTACTGAGAATGATGATTTCCAATTTCATCCATGTCCCTACAAAGGACATGAACTCATCATTTTTTATGGCTGCATAGTATTCCATGGTGTATATGTGCCACATTTTCTTAATCCAGTCTATCATTGTTGGACATTTGGGTTGGTTCCAAGTCTTTGCTATTGTGAATAATGCCGCAATAAACATACGTGTGCATGTGTCTTTATAGCAGCATGATTTATAGTCATTTGGGTATATACCCAGTAATGGGATGGCTGGGTCAAATGGTAATTCTAGTTCTAGATCCCTGAGGAATCGCCACACTGACTTCCACAATGGTTGAACTGGTTTACAGTCCCACCAACAGTGTAAAAGTGTTCCTATTTCTCCACATCCTCTCCAGCACCTGTTGTTTCCTGACTTTTTAATGATTGCCATTCTAACTGGTGTGAGATGGTATCTCATAGTGGTTTTGATTTCCATTTCTCTGATGGCCAGTGATGATGAGCATTTTTTCATGTGTTTTTTGGCTGCATAAATGTCTTCTTTTGAGAAGTGTCTGTTCATGTCCTTCGCCCACTTTTTGATGGGGTTGTTTGTTTTTTTATTGTAAATTTGTTTGAGTTCATTGTAGATTCTGGATATTAGCCCTTTGTCAGATGAGTAGGTTGCGAAAATTTTCTCCCATTTTGTAGGTTGCCTGTTCACTGTGATGGTAGTTTCTTTTGCTGTGCAGAAGCTCTTTAGTTTAATTAGATCCCATTTGTCAATTTTGTCTTTTGTTGCCATTGCTTTTGGTGTTTTGGACATGAAGTCCTTGCCCATGCCTATGTCCTGAATGGTAATGCCTAGGTTTTCTTCTAGGGTTTTCATGGTTTTAGGTCTAACGTTTAAATCTTTAATCCATCTTGAATTGATTTTTGTATAAGGTGTAAGGAAGGGATCCAGTTTCAGCTTTCTCCATATGGCTAGCCAGTTTTCCCAGCACCATTTATTAAATTTCTTTTCTTGTTCTCCCGTGACTTTTGATATCACTGCACACAACTGTTACTGTAAGATGAACATTAAAAAGTCACGTCTGGCCAGTACGGGGATCGAACCCGCGACCTTAGCGTTATTAGCACCACGCTCTAACCAACTGAGCTAACCGGCCCCGCTTACTAAAACCCCCCCTAAACCTCTTGAGAAGTTTAAAGGCGAACGTTATTTCAATCACCAAAGAAACTTTTCTGAACTTCTCGGAACTGGAAAGAACCTGCGATCTTTGCTAACTTGTTTATGATCCTCGGCAAATTTCTCCGAACCCTGACATTTCAATTAAAATACAATTCTGAGGAAGGAAAGTTCAAATGTCACCTGCTTCACTGTTTCATGACAAGGGGTTTCAGTGACCACCCTTTTAAACGCAACGCCATCACCTTCCGCCGGTACTTTGGCCTGCCCTTCTCACTCCTTTCTACTTTGCTTCCGTAGCTTCTGAGCAACCCGTGAAGAAATTGACGGAAAACGGAAGGAATTACCGCCAGTTTCTTTCCACGGGCCGTCAAGGCCAATATAAGTCCCCACCCAGGCTCCTCTGCTCGTAACTTCCAGCACGATTCCCACTGTATTAGCCCATGTTTCCCAGAAGTGAGTATTTGATCCCTACCCCACCCCATTTTTAGAAAACTCAGGAAAACGCTCTCGTATTTCTATCTGAAAAGGACACTTTAGAGAAATACGTTCCATTACAGTCTTTGTGTTCGCATTGTATTCCTTCTCGATGAAACAGGTATAAGTCCATTGGTATTTTACGCACGACAAGACAACTTTGCAGCCCGACTCATGACCTTTAGATTAAGAAACACTCTCCGGGAGCTCTGCTGATCGCTGGGTCTTACGAGGTTGATGCCTTCTGTCCCAAAGAGAACTATTTCCCTGCGTGTTTCCGCCTGGCTGCCCACTTCTCCAGTAGAGAAACAGCTGTTCCTCGGGATTCATTTTTGGAAGTTCTTTGGGTCCTGGGTAATGGGGCCGCATCCTGCAGCGTCGACAAGGTGGTTGAATACGCAGGAACACCCACAGTACCCAGGGACTAATAAATAGCTCAATAGATACGTTTCGAATAATTAAATAAAAGAAGTCTCAACCAACCCCCTTGCTGTATTACAGATGGTCCAGCTCTCTGCCTAGACTATTGTGCTAATGTCCTGTTCCTTCTCCCGGCTTTTGAACTAGATTCTCACCTCTCTCCAATCCATCTTTCGCAGGGCTGGCCTGTCTTTCCGCCTCACTTCTGAAATTCTATCCATTGCCGCCTCTGTGCAAACCGACTCTGGTTAATACTTCAGTCGGTATGGCTCCCCTCTTCCGCACTTTGCACTGCGAGAAATGCCCTTCTTTGAGGCAGCTGGAGGCCTCCTCCTCCTGAGAGCTTAATTGTGGACACAGCCTTGAGTAGAGGCGAAAAGGAAAGAAGGCTGGGAGACAATCGGGGAAAAACACACACCTTTGGTCTGGTTTGAAAGCTGGCGCCCGAAAAGGAACAAGAAAAAAAACACGCTTCGGAAGTGTCTGAGATTGCTGCGGCCATAAAGCAGAGCACTAACCCTGGTACTGATACGGGAGGGGAGCAAGACTCCACCCCCGGGCCTGTGCCCATGAACCTAGGTGAGGAGGGGCACTTCTTCCTCCGCGCCCAAATGTTGCATTTCCCAAGACCACCCTGGCCCGCCACGCCCCCATCCTGTGCCTATAAAAACCCCCGAGACCCTAGCGGGCACAGACACAAGCGGTTGGACATGAAGAGGAACACACCGGCGGGAGAACACAGAACACCCACCCTCTCTTTAGTCACCCTGGAGGCCTCGGAGAAGGCGGTTTCAGTGATCCGTGAAGAGACCCTGAGTCTTTTACATCCCGGAGAATGACAAGAGAGTACCTGGGCGACGTAACTTTCTGGGTTTTCCGGAGATGCGGTTTTCTACACGCCAGGGGCCAAGCCTGAGAAATAGGTGGACGGCAAGGACAGGAGCTCTCTCCGCGCCACAAACGCCCCTGCTCACACCTGGGTTCCTTGATTTTCCTGCCTATATAACCGAGCCACCCATGGCCGGGCTCCGAGCTCTCATTCTGCGGACTGGGACAAAGGGGTTAACTGTGATGTGCTTTGTATAACCCCAGGATTCTGCACTTGCCCAAGGGCGAGGTGCAAATCCAAAATCACGCACGACTGAACGCCGAGATCAGCTGAGTCCTGAGTGCCTCACGACACAAAATCCGTATGATTTTTAAAAGCGCTGTATTTGTGCTGACAATGCATGTCAGATCCCATCTGTCTTTAGCTCAATGTGTGACGTTAGACACGTCGTTTTGCTCCTCAACTTTCTTATTTGGAAAAAAAAAAACGAGTGTTCTAGATTTGCAGAGGGCCTTTTCAGAGCTAAGTTCCAGTAGCTATACTGTAAGTTGAACTCGGGCAGTCCTGTTGGTGAGGAAAAAGGACAAATTGAGAAATGAACAAACACAGAAGTTGCAAAAGCCCTGTGACTTACAGCACAGGACAAGTCTACAAACCCTGCCATGCCACACTAAGCTCAAGTTGTTTTAACATCAGTTTACTCAGACCCGATGATCCAAGGTAAGACCAAAGCCAAACGGATCCAGCAACTGGGCAGATCTTCATGTTCCAGCAGCTAAGTTCCACGGAATAAACCTATGATTCGCCTAGTTTAGAAATTGTCTAGTCCCTCCTCAGAAGGACCTTACTAACTTTCCCCCTAAAAGTGTCCTATGAATAGCTCCAGTCCCCAGACCCTTTAAATTCTGGTCTCTGACTCACCCTTGTTTTAGGCAGTACTGGGACTCCATAGAGGTACGGCTCTTTGCTCAGCAAGTTTAATAAATCCAAGGTAGTAGAATCAATTTGTTTTCTTGGTCGTCTTGTTTGGAGGGAGTGGGTCTTCTCAATGTTGGTTCTGATCCCTGCCTATGGATATTTATGAATAAATAGATATTTGCACTCCATCATCATGTGGAGCTACAAGTGTTAAATTTAACGATCTAATTACCTCTAAAATAACCACTAAATTCAACAATCTGAAACTTATCTAATTAGTTCCACATCCTGGAATGAAGGGATTTAATAGGTAATAACAGGTCTCAGTCTCTAATGGAGACATAATCACACAGACACCAGATGAAAGATGAGTAAAGTGGAAAGCAATAGGTAGAACAATAATTTGCTTTATGCTATGATTTTTGGAGCGAAGCAAGAAAATTAATCAAGGAAACAAAGAAGAAATCCAAGACTTAGTAGTGTTGGATTTGCGTTTTTGTCATATGACATTACTTGTATTTTACAGGATTCACTTGGTCTCCATCTGACCTCCTCAGAGTAGACTGCTCTTTCCCAATCACTCCTGCAATTACCCTAGGAGATATGTGATCCTAAAGTAACGGGGAGTTTTAAATTTACTTCTAAGTACACCTGCATGATGCCATTAGTCAGGGCAGGGTAGCTGAACAAACTCAGCTCTGAATCCTTTAAGCAGAGGTAATAATTGCTGACACTATTTAATCGGATTCTGAACATGATGTGCCACTTTTCCTTTTGCGTCTGAAGTGACACCAGCCATTTTCACAGTTTCTTCCACTAGGAGGTCCTGGGAGAAAAGTGATAAAGGTAGATTCAAGAATGGTTAGTTTGATAAGAGAAACATAAAGGCAAGTATCTTTTTCACTCAGTTCACCTTGGTTCTAAGAGTGGGTCTATATAAAGAAATGGAACATGCTTCTGCTAATTAATGTTCAGGCAGAAAAAGTCATGAATTCCACTACAAACCCATGTCCCTTCTTCCGAAGACATGACAAATTGATGAGGGTATGCTTTCTTCTGTCGGTAAAACGAAGTCTGGGATATAGATTGCAATATTAGCAGTGCCATAGTGCAGAATTTCTCATAATTAACACTTTTCACTTGAATACATAAGAAAATAGAATTGGAATGTAAAGTTAATAAAGTAATCATGTTATAAACAATATGAACATAAAAGCAAAAATTACATGGTCTTTGGCATGCAGTCTTTGATTTGGGGAATGCATTTTTTCTATTGTTATCAGGAAGAAAGAACAGAAACAGTTCATATTCACATGGACTAGACAAAAGTATGCATTTATGTTCTTACTCCAGAGGTATATCAAGTCCCCCAATTTTTCCTAATCTAGTCCAAAGAGAATTGAACTGTCTGCACCAACAGCAAAACATTGGTACACTGTATTGATAGTATCATTTAAATCTTCGATGAGCAAGAAGTGTCAAGTAAGTTGCAGATTTTGTTAAGCCCTGCATGCTCCAGAGGGTGGGAGAGAAACACAGAAACCATTCATCGACCTGGTTCGTGAATGAAAGTTTTTAGGATCTGTGAAATTCTGAGACATTTCCTCCAAAGTAAAGTCTCATTGTTGTATCTCGAAGCTCCCGTCACTTAGAAGGGAGCACTGTGCTCACCATGTTTCTCTGAGCTGTGAAAGCGGCGCGTTCCACACTTGGAGACCCTTCTCTGACACATTTACCAACAGATACTGAATTAAAATATTAACAAATTGAATCCAGCATTATCTGTAAAGCATAATGCACCATGAGTTAGGGGAGATTGCCTCGGGAATAAAAAATTAGTTAGGCATTGAAAAGTCAATTAAATGTAATATACCACATTAACAAAACAAAAAATACATGTAATCATCTCACTAGATGCAGAAGAAATATTGGACCAAATTTGCCATTCATTCGTGGTGTTTAAAAAATATCCCAGTAAGCTAAGAATAGAAGGAAAATTCCTCAGATGAATAATGGGCGTTTAAGAAAGTCCTACAACTAGCAATAGAGTTAATAGTGGAAGAATAAATATGTACCCTTTAATATTGGAGAAAAGTGCAAAATATCTGTCCTTACTACTTCTACATTTTACTGAAAGTCCTAGCTAGTGTCAGAAAGTAAGGAACGCATGAATGAAGAATAAATGGCATACTCACTTTAGAATAAGAAAAATATATTCGTTTGCAAGCAACATGATCAGATACACAAAAAATCCTAATGCATCTACAAAAATAAGCATTATAAGTAAATGCAGCTATGTCACAGATTACAATATACAAAAATTAATTGTATTTCTATGTACTAGCATCAAAAAAATGGAAAATTAAATTACCACTTTCAATAGGTTTAAAACAAATGAAATATTTAGAGATAAACTTGTCAATGTGCACAAGACTTGTACCTAGAAATCTACTAAAGATTGCTGAGAAAAACTCAGGAAAACCTGAATAATTGGTGGTGTTTGCCATATTTACAGATTGAGAAATTTAATATTATTTAGATAACTTTTTTTTTCTCTGAGTTGATCTATAGATTTAGTACAATCCCAACAAATATCCCAGCAGGAGTTTTTGTTTTGTTTTGTTTGTTTGTTTTTACAGAAATTGACAAGCTTATTCTGAAGGACTTAGAGTAACCTAAATAATTAGGAAAAGAAAAACAAAGTTAGAGGACTTACACCAAGTAATTTCAAGACTTACTATAAAGCTAAGGTAATCAAAATAATGTGGTATTGTCTCAAGGATACTTACCCAGATTGATGGAATAGAATAGATAGTCCAGAAATAGACCAATGTATGTGGTCAACTGATTTATGACAGAGGTAAAATGTTTTTTTAAACAAATGGTCCCAGGCAACTGAGTATGGAAAAAATGATTCCCTACCCTTAACTCACATCCTGTACAACAGTTAAATCAAAATAGTTTATATACAAAAAGCTTAACGTTAAAGATATCAAACTTGTAGAAGAAAAGAAGAAAAGAAGTCTACACATATTTGATGTAGGCAAAGCTTTTTCAGAAGGGACCAGAAAAGCATGAGCCCTTACAAAAAAAGATACACTGGATTTTATAAAATATCAAAATGTTTTTATTTGAAAGACAATATTAAGAAAATGAAAAGGCAAGACATAGACTTGAAAAGAAATGTAATATATGTTATATGCACACATAGTTGTTATACAACATATGTGTTATGGATACACATATAACAAAGGACTTTTATGGAGAATATAGAACACATTTTAGAACTCAGTGATACAAACACTCAGTAAGGATAAGGGCAAAAAACTTGAGCAGGCATTTCACAATATAAGATGCTTATATGGCCAATAGGCACACTAAAAGATGTTCAACAACATTAATCAGTACAAAAATGCAAATTAAATCTATCAAGGATTAATAGGTAACAACAGATCTCAACTCCCCTGAATGGAGAAACAATTAGTAACACAGATATTAGATAAAGATAAGTTACTTGAAGGATCAATCAGTGAAAAGATACTTGGGTTTATTTCCAGGTTTGTGTTCTTAAAAAGTGATGCATTCAACAGAGCATTTGAGGTAACTGCTAATTAGGGACGGTACTTCCTTCTCTTTCATGTAATGGGAGAGTGAAATCAGATTAGAACTAGTGCTTTCCTAATGAGATCTTTTCTCTCTTTCTCAGGATCAGGACTCAGATTGAAAAAGCAGAGGATGGTCACTGCCTTCCAGGTCTGAGGCTGTCTCCCAGAAGCTTCACTCCTGGCTTCGCCTTGGTAGGGAAGTTTCCGGAGGTGTTCGAAAACCTGGAAACTTAAGTGGGACATAAGACGATATTTGTGTCCCGGTTATAAAAATTGGCAGAAAAGACAAGTGTAGTGTGGGGGATTAGCTCAAGCGGTAGGGTGCCTGCTTAGCATGCAAGAGGTAGCAGGATCGACGCCTGCATTCTCCAGCTTCTTTTAATCCCTAGGCTACCAATGGTATCTGGCCTAGATGACAGTTGCACAGTACTCGTTATTGTTGTGGCAGTATCTATGAGGATTATTGGCCTCATCCACTGTGCCTGGTGCTGAAGAAGTGCTTCAGGAATGAATCCACAGATTGAGATGAAAATTCTCAAGCTTTCTCTTTCTCAACTCCTCCAAGGTTCTCCATCACTTTCTGAGTCCTACAGGAGGAAAGTGCTATTGAAGATGCGGCTATGCCGTGAAGCTCTGGGGCTGGGAGAAGCTGCCCCACCACTTCCGGGCGGCGGTGGCGGCAAGGAGCAGGTGACGATCACAACTCTAGAGCGTGCTGGAATAGCTGTGCCCCCAAGCCAGGCAGTTCCGGGTGGTGCTTCTCCATCCAGAATGTGCTCTCTGATTCCGAGAGATGAAGAAGGCGAAATTGGGAAGTGAGGAGAGAGGTCTCCCTCATGACCTTCTTTGGAAATCCCTATTCTTCGCACTGGCAGGCTCATAGAACTTTGCTGAAGGCAGTATCTGAGAAGCTCGGCCCTCAATCTGGTCCTGCCAGGGGTTTGGCGACACAAAGCACCGGCATGCTCCTAATAACCAGGAAAATGGGTGGGGTGAAAAGTTTCTCCTCTGGGGAATTAGCTCAGGCGGTGGAGCGCTCGCTTAGCTATGCGAGAGGTAGCGAGATCGACGCCCGCATTCTCCAGTTTCTTGTCTGGTTTATGTCTCTTAGTTTGTATTCCCCGTTGTTTCTCCTGTTGATGACATCGGTGCCTCTTACCTGGGAGAAGATCAGAGGAAACTGCCGCCTCCCTAGAGCCCGTGTTTTATTGATCCCCGTGTAAGAGTCTTGTTGCCCCTGCTTCCATCCTTCCTTCTTTTCCACTCCTGCCACAGGTTTGGCACTTCTAGGTACTCAGGTGTCAGTGCAAATTTCCCGTCTTTAGACAAGTACAGCTAAAAGTGATGCCCACACGATCTCTCAGTTCCTATTACATCTTCACAAATATCGTCTCCTCCGGAAAGTATGTCTTTGAATTATTGGTTTGTTTTTCTCTCCCCTAGAATGGGAGCTTCCTGAGTACCGAAACACTGTCTATGTAGACTGTGTTTAACTCACTTCATCACCATGTGTAGAGTTAAGGTTCTATAAAATACGGTTACTGCCTTGAACAGATGAGGTGAGTAGTATAAGGAAACGGAGATCAAACACAAAGCAATACTTAAAAAAATTACCTGCCACATTTCTAAAATCTTAACAATAGCATTCACTAATGTTTTTTGGTTTTCCTTTGTGCTTTCTCCATAGCCCCTTATTATTATTATTATCATTGACATTTGACTGACAATTTTCCATTTGTTTTCAAATGACCAAGCAGATTTTCCAATTTTCTAGTTAATTCCTGTGTTTCCTTCACCATTCTATTTTCTGGTTTTCTTTTGGGCTACCGTCTTCTTCTTCTTCTTCTTCTTCTTCTTCTTCTTCTTCTTCTTCTTCTTCTTCTTCTTCTTCTTCTTCTTCCTCTTCTTCTTCTTCTTCTTCTTCTTCTTCTTCTTCTTCTTCTTCCTCTTCTTCTTATCCTTTTCCTTCTTCTGCTTCTGCTTCTTCTTTTCTTCTTTTTCTTACTTCTTATATTTGATGCACTGATTTCTTCTAATGTTTTGTAACTTGGGTATTAAAAGGTGTAATTTAAAATGAGAAAGCAGTTTCTACAGAATCCTTAGAAATATGTCGTTATAAGCCCCCATTTTCATTATATTCTAAGGAGCTCAAAGATATACTTTTGATTCTTTTCTAAACTGTGCATTCGAGAGTTAATCTCTTCTTGTTTACTTTTATGTTCATTCAATGTTATTTTCTAATTTTTGTGTATCATTTTATCAACATATAAATATATATATTCACATAAGTATACGAGTTATATATACATGTATTTATGAATGGCAGCTGAAACACACATTAGTGCTAATATTGGTGACTAAAAGTTGGAGAACCAGACATTATGTACCTCATAAAGCGAAGCAATGGAAAGTGCACAAGCCCACCTATCAAATTGTCTTCTTAAAAGATTTGAAGCTGAATCTAAGTGAGCCTCTACTTGTAACTACCAGTTTACAAGAAATAGAGTAGATGAAGAAACATGTCAAGGGGCAGGAAATAGATACAATGAAATAAATACAACATAGAGGTGTTTCTAAGGATAAAAGGCCCAGTTCCTTCAACAACTAACTGGCATTAACTCTTTATGATACTATAATGGTAAATATATGTCATTATACATTTGTTTAAAAAAAAAAAACCCAGGATGTATAACACAAAGAGCAAACTGTAATGTAAACTGTGGACTTTAGTTAACAATAATGTATTGATAATTACTGGTTTACCAGTTGTAACAAATGCACCACGCTGATGCAAGATGTTAATAATAGGGAAAATTGTAAGAGAGGGAGAGTGATGGAGTTTATGGAAATTCTATCTATTCTGATCAATTTTTCTTTAAACCCAGAACTTCTCTAAAAAATAATGTCTATCAATTTTAAAAAATAATATCCATAAAAGAAAGACCAGGGACCTTTTATGGATGAAAAGAGTCTTAAAAAACATAAAAATCTGTAGATTTTACTTTATTATTTATAATCAGCCATTAAGAGAAATTTTTTTTGTATGGGTGACAATCAGAAAAAAAGTTAATATTAGATCATATTTATGATCTATTACCAATTTGTTAACAATAGGTACATACACACATGCAAACATGGCCCTAAAATTTCCTAGTTCTCTCAAGCTATTGATTTCATCATTCTCTCTGCTGCTGAGTTCAAGAAAGTGAAATGCGTAATGGGTATCTCTCCTTTCCCACCTTCCTTCCAGTTCACAACCTAGTGCTGTCCACTTGCATGGGATGTTTCTTTTCCATCACAATGCTCTGAGATAACTAAGTCAAGGGAAGTTTGCGCAGCCCTCCAGACCCTCCAGATTTCAAAGGAAAGCCCACCGCTGCTGGTCTGGGGGAGCTGATGGCCTATTCATGGATGAGATGGACTAAGGACAGTGGGAAGCACAATGGACCAACAGCATTGTTGGAGGGGACTGCGTGAGGAAGCAGGAGCCTAAACAACACTCTCCAGATACTGCGTGAACACTGTCTCCAGAGGGGTCTTGTAGCATCAAAAATTAAAGCTAAATGTTGATTTCTTTCTGGTAATTATTTTGTTCAGCAACCTGGAAAAACGAACAAAAATTATCTCATTCCCTTTCCTATTTAAAGCCTGAAATATTTAATTAAAATGATAAAACTTAAAAAAAGTGCTTATTAGGCCAGGCTCGGTGGGAGGCCGAGGCGGGGGCGGGGCGAATCACTGGAGGCCAGGAGTTTGAGACCAGCCTGGCCAACATGGCGAAACCCCGTCTCTACTAAAAATACAAAATTAGCTGGATGTGGTAGTGCACGCCTGTAATCCCAGCTACCCGGGAGGCTGAGGCAGGAGAATCGCTTGAACCTGGAAGGTGGAGGTTACAGTGAAGCAAGATCACACCACTGCAGTCTCAAAAACAAAAAGTGTTTATTGAAATTTTTAAACTTACAAGTGCTGTGACATTTAAATAAATCATTTTCTCTACATACACGGTTTTTGCACTTATACATGTCTAGACACCCTAGGAATGGTGGTGCCGTGGTGTGAACATGGAGCCTGGAATGGCCAGCCCCAAAACCTCCTCCTCATCAACTGTTGACTCATCAACAGTCAGTCAGTAATCATAACTTCCTTAAAATACAAGAGCCGCAAAACTTTCCGGGATATCTGTGCTACTTAATCTGGCAGTTCCTACTGTGTCTTGCCCCCGGTGTGACGTGCTCTCTTCCATGAAATTAATAACTGCAAACTGTAATGGGAACAAGGCAATTGTCTCCGCACTCTTACCCAAAGCGTTCTCTGAGATGTTTGGTAGTTATTTGGGTCCTTACTTGACCTTCGTGGCCTTAAAACAAAGGGAACATGGCATTTGTGAATCTGAAAGACTTGTGATAATTTTCTCATTTCCTCCAGGCTGTGTGCCTCACTCTGAGTTTGCGGAGGGATCAGCCCTTTTTCAGGGCGCCCTCATGTCCTGAGTATCATCCTCAGAATGTGAGGCTTGGGCCCAATCTGAAGAGGGTGTGAGGGAGAGCCAAAATGCAGGGATTGTCCCACAATGCAGTCCCGCTCTGTAAATCCCTTCCTCTGACTAGCTTGATTTCAGGCTCTGAGAATGGATGGGGTGGGATCGTGAAAGGGTGGCCTGTCCCTCCACACCTGTGGGCGTTTCTCGTCGGGTGGGACGAGAGACTGAGAAAAGAGACAGAGACAAAGTATAGAGAAAGAAAAGTGGGCCCAGGGGACCGGTGTTCAGCTTACGGAGGACCCGCGCAGCCCGGGTCTCTGAGTTCCCTCAGTATTTATTGATCATTATCTCTACCATCTCGGAGAGGGGGATGTGGCAGGACAACAGGGTAGTGGTGGGGAAAGGGTCAGCAGGAAAACATGTGAACAAATGTCTCTGTATCATATACAAGGTTAAGAAAAAAGTGCTGTGCTTTGATGTGCACATACATAAACATCTCAGTGCATTAAAGAGCAGTATTGCAGGCAGCATGTCTCACCTCCAGCCGTAAGGCGGTTTTCTCCTATCTCAGTAGATAGAATATACAATCGGGTTTTACACCAAGACATTCCATTGCCCAGGGAGGAGCAGGAGACAGATGCCTTCCTCTTATCTCAACTGCAAAGAGGACTTCCTCTTTTACTAATCCTCCTCAGCACAGACCCTTTACGGCTGTCCGGCTGGGGGACGGTCAGGTCTTTCCCTTCCCACCAGGCCATATTTCAGAATAGTACATGGGGAGAAATCTTGGACAATACCTGGCTTTCCTAGGCAGAGGTCCCTGCGGCCTTCCACAGTGTTTTGTGTCCCTGGGTACTTGAGATTAGGGAGTGGTGATGAGTTTTAACAAGCATGCTGCCTTCAAGCATTTGTTTAACAAACACATCCTGCATATCCCTAAATCCATTAAACCTTGAGTCGACACAGCACATGTTTCTGCGAGCACAGGGTTGGGGGTAGGGTTACAGATTAACAGCATCTCAAGGCAAAAGAATTTTTCTTAGTACAGAACAAAATGGAGTCTCTTTGTCTACTTCTTCCGACATAGACACAGTAACAGTCTGATCTCTCTTTCTTTTCCCCACAGATTGCTTTTCAGTACTTTCTGCTGAGACATTTTTGTATATTCATTTCTCTCTCAAGGAGCCTCTATAACAAAAGAGAAAAAAGTATCTCGGTTTCTGTGTGTGGCACATGAGTTTGAAGGATTTCTGAGACTGTCGTTCAGGACTGGCGTTACAGATTAAACGCCAATAAGATTCAGGACCAGGGACGATGGGATCCCTGACAGGCGGATATAACTCCTCGTTAAGGACAGACTGCCCACCACTCTCCTTCTTTCTCTGTTTCTGAATTTATTTTCTATAAATTCCGCTGGGTATCAGAACCTTCCTTCGGCTGACTGACGCTTTGCGATTTCCTCTCCAAGCCCGGATCTGTTCCCCAAAAGTCTCTCGTTCCTGCTTCTAGCTTCTCTTTTTAGCTTCTCTAGGTTCGCGTCATCGGCTTTCCTTTTTTCCGAGGTTGAATCCCCAGTTACAAGAAGCCGAGAGGTCTTCTTGTCATAAAATTAACTTCCCTCGGCTCCTGTAACAGGGAGTGGGAGCCCACCCTCCCACTCGCCGTGTAGCACTCTGCATCTCTGAGAAGAAAGTGACCACCCCAGCCCAGCACAGCACAGATTTTCTTTGAGCACCTGCTCGGAGTTCCTGTCCCTCGTCGCTCCTTGGTTTTCCCTCATCGACTACATACAGTCTGTTGGATGTCGGTCAAGGTATCGCCAGCCCCTGCCATGGGAACCATTTGGGGAAAAATAGATCCGATTTATTATACTTCAAAGATGCCCAATGATTCCCTGTCGTCTGTGTACCATAAAAATAAAAACAGATAAAAATAAGATCAATGTATTCGACATCTACACCCAGGCGTACAGCTCTGAGGTGATCAACTGGGAAGCGAAGGTAGCCCACCCAGAGGGAAGAAAGGAACAAAGCTGGAGAATGCAGACGTGGATCCTGCAGGCCGCTGCCTCCCAAGTGAGCGGGTTACAAATTCCGCTAACCCCAGCCCCCCACCACGCTATTGGCTATTTGAGGCATGTGGGGTTTTTTTCCGGACTAGAAGTCTTGTGTTCCACCTGGATTTTCGGGACCACTCAACATTCCTGAGCTCCACCCCTGCCAAGGTGGAGCCAGCACAGGACTGCAGGCGGAGTCTCCAGACTCATCCAGAAACAGCCACTGCGCGGAGCCGGGAGCGCGTGTCGAAAGCGCACCCCTAGACAGCTACTGTGGGAAAGCTCTGGGCCGGACACAATTCCACATGCTTGATATTTTAGAAAAGAAGGAATTATACCCTAGCTGTAAAGGGAGTGTGGATTACAGCTATAACAAGTACCAGGAAGGTAAGCTTTCCTTGCAAAAGCTGCCCTCTCTGAGGCTCGAACTCAGGACCTTCAGATTATGAGACTGACGCGCTGCCCGCTGCGCTAAGAGGGCGACGAAGTATAATGCCGCGCCAGCTTCCACAGGAATTTCCTAATTTCTTTCCCCAGGTGGGCTATTTTGGGACTTCAGTTTTCTTCGCCCAGGGTCGCTAGTTCTCCAAGATTATTTCCAATAGGCACGCGTAGGCTCCTTTTTAGCCCATCGGAAGAACCTCACAATCGGAAGCCATAGTGTACTGAACAATTATGCCTGACCTCATTCTCTATTGATCTGGATCTTCGTCCCCTCAGAGATATAAGGCAATAATTACTGTCCACAGTCTCCTTAGTTGGAATAGCGGGCTTTCACTAAATGCTAGTTGAATGAATGAAAAGCTCCCAAACATGCCTGCAGTTTACACTTACCTCTCTTAATTTAAATTTGCATTTCCACTTATGTCACCTGAGATAGTCCCCTCAAAATATCACCAACTGATTTTATGATGAGTCTTCATGTTTTCTTCACCTCTATGTTGCAAATACTCTATTAAATACTTTATTCCCATAATTTCATTTAGTCCTATTTATTTATTTATTTATTTATTTGCCATAAATCTATACATCATTATCCCCATCTTACTGATGAAACTGAGGCTCAGCAGAACTAAATCCACAGCTGATAAGGGGTAAAACCAGATCTTGAAAGCAGATTTTGTTTTCCAAAAAGCGTGCTGCCCTCTTTCTCCCTCTAGATCATGTAATCTCCCCTTTTCCTCTCCACACCACCACACTCATTTGTTAAGCAAATAGCTATAGAATTTTAGATTCGTTGGTCCATTCAACAAACTTTAATTCACCACTTGCCATGTACCCGACATTTATGTTCTAGATTTCCAAGGCATCCTTGGCCCTTTATCCCTCACATCCCTACAAACACCTTAAATCATTAGTTCTCGAAGTGCGGTGCCCAGACCCACCACATAATTCTCGAGGACACATTCCATTTCAGGTACTGTCCTACCCGAAGGCTTTGAGGATTCAGAAGAAATTGAGCCATCCCTGACCTCAGGAGCTGACAGGACAAACTGTCCTATCTGGTCCAGTTCCTATACTCTCAAACTTCCGGATTCTTATAAATGCATTTTCCTAAATATTTTATTTTGATACTGTAACTCTTCCGCTCTGTACTAGTTTGCTAGGGCTGCCATAATAAATATCACAGACTGAGTGGCTTAACCAACAGAAAATTTTCTCAGTTCTGGATGCTAGAAGAGTTGTTAGCTTTGGTTTCTCCTGAGGCCTCTCTCCTTGGCTCGCAGATGGTCACTTACCTTCTTGCTGTATTCTTGCATGGTCTCTCTCTCTCTACACATATTTCCATCTTTTCTTATAAGAACGCCTATTGGGATTTAGGGTTTCGACATGAATTTGGTAACGGGTGGGGCAGGACAAAATTCCACCGTAACAGGCTCAAAGTTGTTTAAATTTCCACCTTCAGATTTGCAGTAGACTTTGTTACTGGAAAGCACTACTTCCTTTTTTTTTTTTTTTAACAAGTATTTTAGAGTCCCTTAATTGAACAGACCATATACCTTTCCTTACCTAGGAATTCCCACTCCAATGCGCGGTCCACACACCCATTATTTCTCCTCATCTTCATTCTTCAAGGCCCATTCTTGATTCTTTCATTCTTATTTGAAAGAATGTAGCATGGAGGAATGTAGCATACTAGTTTTTCCCTCGGAATTGCATGACTCATTGTCAGTAACTATCTTATGGTTTTTGCTGTTATGACATTTAGTATGGATGTGTGCTATCTTTCATTAATATCCTCCATCTTGTAGTCACTGTTTCCATAAGGAAGCGCAGCCAGTGTGAACTACAGTCCAAAACCTCCCATATGCATAGACTGGTTGTGTAGTCTAAAGAAATTCCTGGCTCTGAGTCCTAATTCTGAAGGTAGTGGTAAACTTCAGTCCTTTGGTGTCTTATTCACTTAGGTTCATGCCAAGCTTACGGGGCCCAATGCAGATCCCAGGAAAAGGAGGAAGGGATGTATGCTAAACCTGTTCCTATTTCTACCCGCCAGGTTTGTTGTTGTTGTTGTTTGTTTTTCAGGTGGAAGCTCAACAGCATCCATGCTATGGGTGATTGATGCTATGTTTCTCTAATGTTAGCAGTATCTTCTTCTAATGAACTCTCTCCTTGATGATCTCTTGTCATCTGTCTTGGCCAATGTCAGTAAGGGGTCTGCATGTAAAAATGCTCATAGGTACTTGAGATGTTCATCTTTTCCTCCTTGTTTGGGTGAATTGTTTCTTTCTTAATTCATTTATGCACGTGCACATACATGTATACATAAGTGTGCACATAGGTGCGCACGCACACGTGTAGATGCCTGTGCTTATATGTGTACATACACGTATGCATACACATATGCATTCTCGTGTACATACATGCACGAATGCTCGCATGCATGTTTAGGTACGTGTATACAAACCTGATACACGAATAAATACGTGTACAAATGTGTTGATGCATGTTTACATGAGTGTACATGCATGTTAATGTACACATATGCATCTACACATATGCGTATACACACATACATGGACACATACATACTGTGTACACAATCAATGAATATGCCCAAATGCATGCAGACGCACACATGTATTTGTACACATGCATGTGTGTACATATGTGAGTGTGCACACATGTATGAGTGTATATGTGTTTGTATGTTTGTACGTATAAGTGTATGTATACATGTGCACAGACGTCTGAATGCATGTGTGGGTAGACATGTGCATTTGTATGCACAAGTACGTGCGCATGCAGATATATGTTTGAGTACATGTATGCATCGTGCTTTTGTGTGTAAACATGTATGTATATATACATGTATTATGGGTGCATCTGTGTATGCAAGTGCACGTGTGTATGCACATGCAGGTATACCCACATATCCATGTACACATATATGTCATGCATGTATGTGTGTGCATGCATGTATTTGCACACAAATTTTTGTGTGTGCACATGCATGTGTGCACACACGTGTGTGTGTAGACATGTATGTGTGGATGTGCACACGTAAATATGGACACTTGTATTCAGGCATACACATGCTTTCACGTGTGTGCACAGATGCATTTGTAGGCTGGTATACATGGTGTATACGTGTATGTATATATACATTATTCATAAAAACATATGTGCACACATGTGCACAATGCATACATGTATGCATACGTGTGTGCATGCATGAGTACACATGTGCATACACACGTAGGTGGGTAAACACACATGTACACACATGCATGCAGACATGTGAGCACATGTCTATCTGCACATATATCTACACAAATACATGCATGCATACTGTGTACACGATACATGGATACACATACATCCATGCACACACACCCACATGCATTTGCACATGCATGTGTACATATCTTTATACACTCACACATGCACGCACGTGTATATACATGTATACATACACATATGAATGTGCAGCTACGTGTGTACATGCATGTACTTGCATGTATGCATATGCATATGTGTCAGCAAATACACACATACATACACACATACATACGGTGTACATGCATGTATACATAAACATGCATGCATGTATACACATGTATGTGTAGATACCTTTGTGCATATGTGTACATGCCTGTATGCATACACACATGCATACACGTGTACACACATACATTTACACATGCATGTGGTGTACACAGACATGTATACATAAACATGTGTGCAATCACGTCTACATACACACACATGCACCTGTAGATACAAGTGTACATGTTCTGTGTGGAAGACGTGTAAGGGGAGAAGAAAAGACACACACACAATACCTTTAAGGGTAAACAACCTTTATCCCACGTAAATGGCAATGCAGATATAATAAGCAAATGATATAGTAAGCAAATTGAAATAATAAGCAGACTGATATAATAAGCAAATTGCAACGGGAAGGAAAAAGACATATATTTATATGCACTCCAGGCTGCACTCCAGGCTGCTTCTAAAGGTGTCCCATAATGAAACAATCCCCAATATAAGGCAGGTCCTCTTTTTTTCCTCTTTGAGAAGATTCCTCAAACATCTATTCTTAAATTTAAAAAACGTTATTTATTTATTTATTTATTTTTGAGACGGAGTCTTGCTCTGTTTCCCAGTCTGGAGTGCAGTGGCGTGGTCTCGGCTCACTGCAACCTCCACCTCCTGGATTCAAGCTATTCTCCTGCCTCAGCCTCCCAAGTAGCTGGGACTACAGGTGCATGCCACCATGCCTGGCTAATATTTGAATTTTTAGTGGATACTGGGTTTCGCTACGCTGTCCAGGTTGGTCTCAAACTACTGACCTCAAGTAATCTGCCCACTTCGGCCTCTCAAAGTATATACATATATATGTATATACACACTCACCAGACTATGGAGGATTCACCAACAGACCGGGAAGCAACAGCCTGGGCTCCAGAGTTGGCCAGCTGTCTGCGCACAGACGAGGAGAAGTCTCATGAAGCTTCAGCCCAGTCTGGAACCCTAGCTCTTTTTGTAACGAGTTGTTTGGCATGAGGCCCGGTCACGAGGGCCCTTCGCAACTGGGCTCAAGGATCACAAAAAGGTCAACTTGTTTTTGTGATTGTCTGTTGTTTTTCAGTAACTAATGTATAGGAATAGATTGAAATAGAGATTTCTCTGAAACAGCACTGGATGAACACCTCAATGGGTTCACAAACCTGTTCCAGACAGATTTCCCTCATGCTGTTCTCATGACAATGAGTGAGTTCTCCTGAGATCTGGTTGTTGAAAAGTGTGTAACACTTTCCCCTTTGCTCTTTCTCTCCGACTCTGCCATGGTAAGGCATGCTTGCTTCTCCTTCGCCTTCCGCCATGATTGTAAGTTTCTTGAGGCCTCCCAGCCATGCTTCCTATACAGCCTGTGGCACTGTGGGTCAATGAAACCTCTTTTCTTCATAAATTACCCAGTCTCCAGTAGTTCTTTATAGCAGTGTGACAATGGACTAATACAGGTGCCAACAAGTTCAATCACTGGCACCAAAATATGGGAGATACGGTAGTTAGATGCATGAGAAATGTAAAGGGGAGAAATGGGCAGATTGACTGCCTGAAGTTCCTTCTATATTGGGATTGGCCTGTAGTCCCAGGGCTTTTCAGGGACAACCAGATGTAGGCCTTTCCCACAAGACAGGTGTGGGAATCAGGAGAGAGGGAGCACTAGCATGAGGTCAACTTTGAGCCAGTCCCAGTGGGCTATGTGGAAGGATGAACGTAACTAAGGAAAAAGAAGCAAAAGGAAGCTTTGAGTTTTGCAGTGGCTGGAAAAGCAGTCATAAAGAAGGGGGTACAGGAGAGTACATCATCATCAAGGGAAATGCACACGAGAATCCACAATCATGGATCGTATTAAAAAAATTATTCGTATTCAAACAGCTGAATGGAAAGCATGACACTGGCTAATGACAACACCATTTAAAAGTAAGAACTTTATTATTCTCCCCACCACCCCTCCCTGGCTTTAACTCATCTTCCACCACGATTGAAACACGGAAGTCTCAGAACAGTGGTTAACAAATGGTAGAATGTTAGGGTAAGAAAAGAGAGATGAAACATTTTCCTTAGAAAACTATCCAAATAGTTTTAGCTGACTCAACAGGCCCAGTAGGTAAAGGAAGAGATCTGATCTTTATGTCAAGTTTAAATTTTAGAGTGTTACATGGAGCTCAGCATCTTAACTTTGAGACTGAGACTGTATTGCCTGGGATGAGGCATAAAACTGTGTATGTCTTCATATGGAGATAGGGAAAGAATATATCCTACTGAATAAGATTAAAATGACACTGGGAGACCAAAACATGTTTTTTGTATTATTAAATCCCAGAGATTGGCCACATTCATATTACAGAGTTTAGAGAGAACTAACTGATAAACTTACGTGGCTATCCCTTAATGAGTTTTGTTATTATTATGGTTTTTTCCTGTCTGCTTATGCATTATTATGATATCTATATTATGATTTTGTTATGCCAAGTAATGACATCTCAGGGATCTGTGAGGCAGTACCTCATTTGGTATTCTAACCACATTTGACAAGTACAAAAATGTACACACCTTAGTCTACTTTGTGTTGCTAAAAGGAACACCTGAGACTGCGTAATTTGCATGACAATGAGTCATGCAATTCCGAGGGAAAAACTAGTATGCTACATTCCTCCATGCTACATTCTTTCAAATAAGAATGAAAGAATCAAGAATGGGCCTTGAGGAATGGAGATGAGGAGAAATAATGGATGTGTGGACCAGGCACTGGAATGGGAATTCCTAGATAAGGAAAGGTATATGGTCTGTTTAATTAAGGGGCTTTAAAATACGTGTTAAAAAAAAAAAAAAGCAAGTAGTGTTTTCCAGTAACAAAGTCTACTGCAAATATGAGGGTGAAAATGTAAACAACTTTGAGCCTGTCATGGTGGAATTTTGTCCCGCCCCACCTGTCATCAAATTCATGTCGAAACCCTAACTCCCAATAGGAGTTCTTATAAGAAAAGATGGAAACATGTGTAGAGAGAGAGACCGTGGGAGAATATAGCAAGAAGGTAAGTGACCATCTGCGAGCCAAGGAGAGAGGCCTCAGGAGAAACCAAAGCTAACAACCCTTCTAGCCTCCAGAACTGAGAAAATTTTCTGTTGGTTAAGGCACTCAGTCTATGATATTTATTATGGCAGCCCTAGCAAACTAGTGCAGAATGGGAGTTACAGTATCAAAATAAAATATTTAGGAAGATGCATTTATAAGAATCCGGAAGTTTGAGAGTATAGGAACCGGACCAGATAGGACAGTTTGTCCTGTCAGCTCCTGAGGTCAGGGATGGCTCAATTTCCTCTGAATCCTCAAAGCCTTCGGGTAGCACAGTACCTGAAATGGAATGTGTCCTCGAGAATTATGTGGTGGGTCTGGGCACCGCACTTCGAGAACTAATGATTTAAGGTGTTTGTAGGGATGTGAGGGATAAAGGGCCAAGGATGCCTTGGAAATCTAGAGCATAAATGCCGGGTACATGGCAGGTGGTGAATTAAAGTTTGTTGAATGGACCAACGAATCTAAAATTCTATAGCTATTTGCTTAACAAATGAGTGTGGTGGTGTGGAGAGGAAAAGGGGAGATTACATGATCTAGAGGGAGAAAGAGGGCAGCACGCTTTTTGGAAAACAAAATCTGCTTTCAAGATCTGGTTTTGCCCCTTATCAGCTGTGGATTTAGTTCTGCTGAGCCTCAGTTTCATCAGTAAGATGGGGATAATGATGTATAGATTTATGGCAAATAAATAAATAAATAAATTGGACTAAATGAAATTACGGGAATAAAATCTTTAATAGGGTATTTGCAACATAGAGGTGAAGAAAACATGAAGACTCATCATAAAATCAGTTGGTGATATTTTGAGGGGACTATCTCAGGTGACATAAGTGGAAATGCAAATTTAAATTAAGAGAGGTAAGTGTAAACTGCAGGCATGTTTGGGAGCTTTTCATTCATTCAACTAGCATTTAGTGAGAGCCCGCTATTCCAACTAAGGAGACTGTGGACAGTAATTATTGCCTTATATCTCTGAGGGGACGAAGATCCAGATCAATAGAGAATGAGGTCAGGCATAATTGTTCAGTACACTATGGCTTCCGATTGTGAGGTTCTTCCGATGGGCTAAAAAGGAGCCTACGCGTGCCTATTGGAAATAATCTTGGAAAACTAGCGACCTTGGGCGAAGAAAACTGAAGTCCCAAAATAACCCGCCTGGGGAAAGAAATTAGGAAATTCCTGTGGAAGCTGGCGCGTTGATGCACTTCGTCGCCCTCTTAGCGCAGCGGGCAGCGCGTCAGTCTCATAATCTGAAGGTCCTGAGTTCGAGCCTCAGAGAGGGCAGCTTTTGCAAGTGAACGCTTACCTTCCCGGCACTTGTGATAGCTGTAACCCGTATTCCCTTTACAGCTGAGGTATAATTCCTTCTTTTCTGAAATATCAAGCAAGTGGAACCGTGTCGGGCCCAGAGCTTCTGTGGGTGCTCGTTTGACACGCGCTCCCGGCTCCGCGCAGTGGCTGTTTCCGGATGAGTCTGGAGACTCCGCCTGCAGTCCTGTGCTGGCTCCACCTTGGCAGGGATGGAGCTCAGGAATGTTGAGTGGTCCCGAAAAACCAGGTGGAACACAAGACTTCTAGTCCGGAAAAATCCCCCACATGCCTCAAATAGCCAATAGCGGGGTGGCGGGCTGGGGTTAGCGGAATTTGTAACCCGCTCACTTGGGAGGCAGCGGCCTGCAGGGTCCGCGTCCTCATCCTCCGGCTTTGCCCCTTTCTTCCCTCTGGGTGGGCAACAGTCGCTTCCCAGTTGATCATCTGAGAGCTGTACGCCTGGGTGTAGATGTCGAATACATTGATCTTCTTATTTTTATCTGTTTTTATTTTTATGGTACACAGACGACAGGGAATCATTGGGCATCTTTGAAGTATAAATAAATCAGGTCTGTTTTTCCCCAAACGGTTCCCACGGCAGGGGCTGGGGATACCTTGACCGACATCCAACAGACTCTATGTAGGCAATGAGGGAAAACCAAGGAGCGACGAGGGGCGGGAACTCCGAGCAGGTGCTCAAAGACGAAGAAAATCTGTGCTGGGCTGGGGTGGTCACTTTCTTCTCAGAGATGCAGAGTGCTACACGGCGAGTGGGAGGGTGGGCTCCCACTCCCTGTTACAGGAGCCGCTTGGAACTGGGGATTCAACCTGGGAAACAAGGAAAGCCGATGACGCGAACCTAGAGAAGCTAAGAAGAGAAGCTAGAAGCATGAACGAGAGAATTTTGGGGAATAGATCCGGGCTTGGAGAGGAGACTGCGAAGCGCCAGTCAGCCTAAGGAAGGTTCTGATACCCAGTGGAATTTATAGAAAATGATTTCGGAAAGAGAGAAAGAAAGAAAGAGAGTGGTGGGCAGTCTGTCCTTAACGAGGCGTTATGTCCGCCTGCCAAGGATCCCACCGTCACTGGTCCTGAATCTATATTTCATCTGTAACGCCAGTCCTGAACAATAGTCTCAGAAATCCTTCAAACTCATGTGCCACACACAGAACCCGAGACAGTTTTTTCTCTTTTGTTACAGAGGCTCCTTGAGAGAGAAATGAATATACAAAAATGTCTCAGCAGAAAGTACTGAAAAGCCATCCCACCCCATCCATTCTCAGAGACTAAAATCAAGCTAGTCAGAGGAAGGGGTTTACAAAGCAGGACTGCACTGTGGGACAATCCCTGCATTTTGGCTCTCCCTCACACCCTCTTCAAATTGAGCCCAAGCCCCACATTCTGAGGATGATACTCAGGACGTGAGGGGGCTCTGAAAAAGGGCTGATCCCTCCGCAAACTCAGGGTGATGCACACAGCCAGGAGGAAATGAGAAAATTATCACAATTCTTTCAGATTCACAAATGCCATGTTCCCTTTGTTTTAAGGCCACGAAGGTCAAGTAAGGACCCAAATAACTACCAAACATCTCAGAGAACGCTTTGGGCAAGAGTGCGGAGACAATCAATTGCATTGTTCCCATTACAGTTTGCAGTTATTAATTTCATGGAAGAGAGCACGTCACACCGGGGGCAAGACACAGTAGGAACTGCCAGATTAAGTAGCACAGATATCCCGGAATGTTCTGCGGCTCTTTGTATTTTAAGGAAGTTTTGATTACTGACTGACTGTTGACGAGTCAACAGTTGATGAGGAGGAGGTTTTGGGGCTGGCCATTCCAGGCTCCACGTTCACACCACGGCACCACCATTCCTAGGGTGTCTAGACATGTACACTTGCAAAAACCATGTATATAGAGAAAATGATTTTATTTATATGTGAGAGCACTTTTAAGTTTGAAACTTTCAATAAAGACTTTTTTTTTTTTTTTTTTTTTTTTTGAGAGTGCAGTGGTGCGATGTCGATCCACTGTAACCTCCACCTTCCAGGTTCAAGCGATTCTCCTGCCTCAGCCTCCCGAGTAGCTGGGATTACAGGCGTGCGCTACCACGTCCAGCTAATTTTGTATTTTTAGTAGAGACGGGGTTTCGCCATGTTGGCCAGGCTGGTCTCAAACTCCTGGCCTCCAGTGATTCGCCCCGCCCCCGCCTCGGCCTCCCACCGAGCCTGGCCTAATAAGCACTTTTTTTAAGTTTTATCATTTTAATTAAATATTTCAGGCTTTAAATAGGAAAGGGAATGAGATAATTTTTGTTCGTTTTTCCAGGTTGCTGAACAAAATAATTACCAGAAAGAAATCAACATTTAGCTTTAATTTTTGATGCTACAAGACCCCTCTGGAGACAGTGTTCACGCAGTATCTGGAGAGTGTTGTTTAGGCTCCTGCTTCCTCACGCAGTCCCCTCCAACAATGCTGTTGGTCCATTGTGCTTCCCACTGTCCTTAGTCCATCTCATCCATGAATAGGCCATCAGCTCCCCCAGACCAGCAGCGGTGGGCTTTCCTTTGAAATCTGGAGGGTCTGGAGGGCTGCGCAAACTTCCCTTGACTTAGTTATCTCAGAGCATTGTGATGGAAAAGAAACATCCCATGCAAGTGGACAGCACTAGGTTGTGAACTGGAAGGAAGGTGGGAAAGGAGAGATACCCATTACGCATTTCACTTTCTTGAACTCAGCAGCAGAGAGAATGATGAAATCAATAGCTTGAGAGAACTAGGAAATTTTAGGGCCATGTTTGCATGTGTGTATGTACTTGTTGTTAACAAATTGGTAATAGATCATAAATATGATCTAATATTAACTTTTTTTTCTGATTGTCACCCATACAAAAAAAATTTCTCTTAATGGCTGATTATAAATAATAAAGTAAAATCTACAGATTTTTATGTTTTTTAAGACTCTTTTCATCCATAAAAGGTCCCTGGTCTTTCTTTTATGGATATTATTTTTTAAAATTGATAGACATTATTTTTTAGAGAAGTTCTGGGTTTAAAGAAAAATTGACCAGAATAGATAGAATTTCCATAAACTCCATCACTCTCCCTCTCTTACAATTTTCCCTATTATTAACATCTTGCATCAGTATGGTACACTTGTTACAACTGGTAAACCAGTAATTACTAATACATTATTGTTAACTGAAGTCCACAGTTTACATTACAGTTTGCTCTTTGTGTTATACATCCTGGGTTTTTTTTTTTTTTTAACAAATGTATAATGACATATATTTACCATTATAGTATCATAAAGAGTTAATGCCAGTTAGTTGTTGAAGGAACTGGGCCTTTTATCCTTAGAAACACCTCTATGTTGTATTTATTTCATTGTATCTATTTCCTGCCCCTTGACATGTTTCTTCACCTACTCTATTTCTTGTAAACTGGTAGTTACAAGTAGAGGCTCACTTAGATTCAGCTTCAAATCTTTTAACAAGACAATTTGATAGGTGGGCTTGTGCACTTTCCATTGCTTCGCTTTATGAGGTACATAATGTCTGGTTCTCCAACTTTTAGTCACCAATATTAGCACTAATGTGTGGTTCAGCTGCCATTCATAAATACATGTATATATAACTCGTATACTTATGTGAATGTACATATTTATGTGTTGATAAACAAAATGATACACAAAAATTAGAAAATAACATTGAAAGAATGAACGTAAAAGTAAACAAGAAGAGATTAACTCTCGAATGCACAGTTTAGAAAAGAATCAAAAGTATATCTTCGAGCTCCTTAGAATATAATGAAAATGGGGACTTAAAATGACATATTTCTAAGGACTCTGTAGAAACTGCTTTCTCATTTTAAATTACACCTTTTAATACCCAAGTTACAAAACATTAGAAGAAATCAGTGCATTAAATATAAGAAGGAAGAAGAAGAAGAAGAAGAAGAAGAAGAAGAAGAAGAAGAAGAAGAAGAAGAAGAAGCCCGAAAAAAAAAAAGAAAAAGAAAAAAAAAAAGAAAATAGAATGGTGAAGGAAACACAGGAATTAACTAGAAAATTGCAAAATCTGATTGGTCATTTGAAAAAGAAGTGTAAAATGGTCAGCCAAATGTAAAATAATAATAATAATAAGGGGATATGGAGAAAGCACAAAGAAAAACCAAAAACATTAGTGAATGCTATTATTAAGATTTGAGAAATGTGGCAGGATAATGTTTTTAAGTATTGCTCTGTCTTTGATCTCCCTGTTTCCTTATCTGTTCAAGGCAGTAACCGTATTTTACAGAACCTTAACTCTACGCATGGGGATGAAGCGAGTTGAACACAGTGTACATAGACAGCGTTTCGGTACTCAGGAAGCTCCCACTCTAGGGGAGAGAAAAACAAACCAGTAACTTAAAGACATACTTTCTGGAGGAGACGATATTTGTGAAGATGTAGTAGGAATTGAGAGATCGTGTGGGCATCACTTTTAGCTGTACTTGTCTAAAGACGGGAAATTTGCATTGAGACCTGAGTAGCTAGAAGTGCCAAACCTGTGGCAGGAGTGGAAAACATGGGAGGATGGAAGCAGGGGCAACAAGACTCTTACATGGGGAGCAGTAAAACACGAGATCGGGGGAGGGGGCAGGTTCCTCTGATCTTCTCCCAGGTAAGAAGCACCGCCGTTGTCAACAGGAGAAAGAAGCGGGTATACAAACCAAGAGACATAAACCGGACAAGGAACTGGAGAATGCGGGCGTCGATCCCGCTACCTCTCGCATGCTAAGCGAGCGCTCTACCGCCTGAGCTAATTCCCCACTGAGGATACACCACCCCCCACCCATTTTCCTGGTTATCAGGAGCCTGCCGGTACTTTGGGCCGCCAAATCCCTGGCAGGACAAGATTGAGGGCGGAGCTTCTCAGATACTGCCTTGGGCAAAGTTCTACGAGCCTGAGAGTGTGAAGAATACGGATTTCCAAAATAGGTCATGAGGGAGACCTCTCTCCTCACTTCTCAATTTCGCCTTCTTCATCTCTCGGAAGTAGAGAGCACGTTCCAGTTGGAGAAGCACCACCCGGAACTGCCTGGCTTGCGGGCACAGCTATTGCAGCCCGCTCTAGAGCTGTGATCCTCACCTGCTCCCTGCAGGCAAGGCCGCCCGGAAGTAGTGGGGCAGCTTCTCCCAGCCCCAGAACTTCACGCCATACGCGCCGCATCTTCAATAGCACTTTCCTCCTGTAGGACTCAGAAAGTGATGGAGAACCTTGGAGGAGTTGAGAAAGAGAAAGCTTGAGAATTTTCATCTCAATCTGTGGATTCATTCCTGAAGCACTTCTTCAGCACCAGGCACAGTGGATGAGGCCAGTGATCCACATAGAAAGTGCCACAACAATAGCAAGTAATAGTACTGTGCAATTGCCGTCTAGACCCTATTTTAGATGCTGTACACATATTAATAGTAATGCAGGTAAAATGCCTAGAAATAGTTTATAATCTTCATTTTTTATATGAAAAATTATGGAAAATTGTCACCACAGAGCTCAGGGATCTCTCAGCCAAAAGGAAAAACAGATGCAGGCTATACCGTGTCTGCTGTGTAGGTGCTTCTCCTGCCATTTCCCTTCCCTGTCACCTTCCTCCCCCCTTCTCTTGCTCCATTGGGCACCACACTTGTCCTTCTTATGCCTGTCTAGTTCTTCAATTCCCGGGCCCACAGAAGAAGGCTTCCCCTGTAGCCCAGGGGAGGCTACATTAGCTCCACTGCCTTGGAGTTGTAGTGGATTCCAAATCTGCTTTCCACCTGTGAAGAATTCTCATTTAAGACAGGAACATAGTTATTTTACTCTGAGTATAACTAGCGTCAAGTAGGATTTTTGCCTGATGAAAATTTGCTGAATGGAGAAAGGCTATACAGATAATTTAGAAGCCTCAAAGGAGAGAGTGGCTTCAGATCAGTAAAGACTGAAGAAAGGATTAGAAGCTAGGGTCTAACAAACCCATAGAAATGTTTTTGCCTGAAAAGGAAATGTGGTTGGGGAAGAGTGGAGGGGCACTACTTTCAGAGTGATTAGTGGGTGGAGGCATGGCCTTCATGGAACTGCAGGTGGTTTGGGGCAGCTTCAGGTCCCTCCTTCACGGTCCCAGTTTATTAGGAGTGCACATCCTGAGAAGGAAAGAGGCTGCTCCTATGGGACAAAAATTCAACAACATGTTTATTATTTATGACATTCATTTTTGAGATCATTTATGAATAAGAAGATAAAATAGAAAAACATGTAATCAATAACATTGTCTTTCTATTACGATTAACAAAGGGCAATGCTGAGAAGTCAAATGGTGTCAGAGAGAGATTTGAGTGATGGGAAAGAAAGAAGGATGGAAAGAGGGGCACGTCCCAGGGACCTACAAGAGCTTCCTGGAGTCATCTATCCAAAGACCACTCTCTCCAGCATTCTGAGCTCTGCTTGGGCCAGTTGAGCTAGTCAACATATGTGTTGTTAATACAGCGCCTCATGTAGTTTCTTTAAATAGGGGATAGTGTTGCAATTTCAAAAATACATTTTTTTACGTTTTGGTTCATCTTGGAAATTAGAGGAAGACCTAGGTCCCCATTTATTTTGAGCACATTTTTGTCAGAACGAGCTTTCAGAGAGATGAATAGAAGGAATAAATGTCACTTTTCTTAGTGAGAGTGTATCCGACCACTAGAGTTAATATGCTAGCTCCCACCTTCACTTATACTCCTTCCTTACCTCTCTCCTTACCTCTCTTACCTACACAGGAGAGAGGTAAGGAAGGAGTATAAGTGAAGGTGGGAGCCTGGCCAACTCTCAGATAATCTGGTAGAAGACACGTTTTCATCCTCTACCTGACCATGTGTTGTCAATGTGAATAAAAGCAAAAGGTTGGCACATTCAAGTCTCCTGCTTTTGCCTCCTGACACTATTTCCAGGCTGTTCCTCATATTTTGTACCCAAAAGGCTAAAGTTTGATTTCCCCACAAAAATACATTGTATTAACTTCGAGCTGAAGCCCCAAAACCTGTATTGGCAAAACTCACTTGTGACTAATCGCTTCCTTTTTTGCTTTTGCATGGAATGCTATGTATAATTTCCTTAAAAAAAAAATGTACATAACAAGATGAAACTGAGTCAAATAAAGAGCGGTAAATCCGCTGAAAGTATTTACCAGATACCATTGGTAGCCTAGGGATTAAAAGAAGCTGGAGAGTGCAGGCGTCGATCCTGCTACCTCTTGCATGCTAAGCAAGCGCTCTACCGCTTGAGCCAATTCCCCCACACCGCATTTGTCTTTTCTGCCTGTTTTGATAACCGGGACACAAATATCGTTCCATGTCCCACTTAAGTTTCCAGCTTTTCAAACACCTCCGGGAACTTCCCTACCAAGGCGAAGCGAGGAATGAAGTTTCTGGGAGACAGCCTCAGACCTGGAAGGCAGTGACCATCCTCTGCTTTTTCAATCTGAGTCGGGATCCTGAGAAAGAGAGAAAAGATCTCATTAGGAAAGCACTAGTTCTAATCTGATTTCACTCTCCCATTAGATGAAAGAGAAGGAAGTACCGTCCCTAATTAGCAGTTACCTCAAATGCTCTGTTGAATGCATCACTTTTTAAGAACACAAACCTGGAAATAAGCCCAAGTATCTTTTTATCGATTGATCCTTCAAGTAACTTATCTAGTATCTGTGTTACTAATTGTTTCTCCATTCAGGGGAGTTGAGATCTGTTGTTACCTATTAATCCTTGATAGATTTAATTTGCATTTTTGTACTGATTAATGTTGTTGAACATCTTTTAGTGTGCCTTATTGGCCATATAAGCATCTTATTTTGTGAAATGCCTGCTCAAGTTTTTTGCCCTTATCCTTACTGAGTGTTTGTATCACTGAGTTCTAAAATGTGTTCTATATTCTCCATAAAAGTCCTTTGTTATATGTGTATCCATAACACATATGTTGTATAACAACTATGTGTGCATATAACATATATTACATTTCTTTTCAAGTCTATGTCTTGCCTTTTCATTTTCTTAATATTGTCTTTCAAAGAAAAAGCATTTTAATATTTTATGAAATCCAGTGTATCTTTTTTTGTAAGGGCTCATGCTTTTCTGGTTCCTTCTGAAAAAGCTTTGCCTACATCAGATATGTGCAGACTTCTTTTCTTCTACAAGTTTGATAACTTTAACGTGAAGCTTTACGTATATAAACCATTTTGATTTAATTGTTGTATAGGATGTGAGTTAAGGGTAGGGAATCATTTTTTCCATACTCAGTTGCCTGGGACCATTTGTTTAAAAAACTCATTAAATAACATTTTACCTCTGTCATAAATCAGTTGACCACATACGTTGGTCTGTTTCTGGACTATCTGTTCTATTCCGTCAATCTGGGTAAGTATCCTTGAGACAATACCACATTATTTTGATTACCTTAGCTTTATAATAAGTCTTGACATCACCTGGTGTAAGTCCTCTAACTTTGTTTTTCTTTTCCTAATTATTTAGGTTACTCTAGGTCCTACAGAATAAGCTTGTCAATTTCTGTAAAAACAAACAAACAAAAAGAAAAGAAAACAAAACAAACAAAACAAAAATCTCCTGCTGGGATATTTGTTGGGATTGTAGTAAATCTATAGATCAACTCAGAGGGAAAAAAATGATAT